>NC_000004.12:179527441-179830471 GCF_000001405.40 Homo sapiens
TGGGTAGGGCCTACGATTAGAGGTTCTCTCATTTGAAACTTGGGTTAATGCTCAATTTAGTTAGCTGGTCAGCTTTTCTCTTCTTTGTTAGAATTCCATTTTGTAGTTACCCCAACCTATAGCAAAATATTTACCTAACCCTTTATATCCTGGAGTTGTAATCTGAGTTTGACTGATGGGATTGGGTATGAAGGGGAAGGGAGACAGTTCTCTTTTTATCTCTTTGGCTCCAGTGGGAATGAACTTCAGTCTATCTGGGTTGAAGACTGAGTCTCTGATAGTGACTTAAGTTCAGAAGAAAGCTCCATATAGAAATTATGACATTGACAGATTTGTGAGAGATATATACCAAATCTACTTCTTACCCTTACAAATAAGAAAGAAACAAGGCAAGATATATATACTCGGAATAAATATTGAATTAAGTACACGTGCAGCAAAGTGTTCTATCCAGACGGTTTAACTTGTTAGATTGCTCTATTCATAAGAATTAAATGCAAGGGAACTTCAAAGAGTTCATGGAAAATGTAATTAAAATAAAATACATAAACTTTATTTCTCAATACAAGCTCCGTCAAGTTTAAGACGCTTTTGTAAGTGATGTTGCCAGACATTTATCCCATCCCTAGAGAGCCAAGAGTCCTGGGAATGTAGCCATGTCAATGTAGTCATTTTAATATTATTAACTGAAGCAAAATGGGTGCACTTTAGGAAACAGAAGAAGTCATAAGGAGCCAAATCAAGGCTATTAGACAGGTGCCTAATGATTTCCCATTGAAATTCATAAAAATTGCTCATGTTGGATGCAAGAAAGGAGCAGGAGCATTGTCCTGGTGGAAAATGTCCCGGGCGTTTTTCTGCTGAAGCTTTGGCTAACTTTCTCAAAACACACTCATGATAAACACGTTATCATTCTTTGGCCCTTCAAAATATCAACAAGCAAAATGTATTGATAACCCCCCCAAAAAAAAACTGTTGCCGTGAACTTTGCTCTTGACCGGTCTGTTTTTGCTTTGACTGGAACTTTTTGGTAGTCATTGCTTTGATTGTGTTTTGCCTTCAGGATCGTACTGGTAAAACCATGTTTCATCTCCTGTTATAATTCTTCAAAGAAATGCTTCAAGCTTGCTTAAATTTCCATTGAAATCTCTGCTTTTGTCTGCAGCTTATCTGTGGTGCAATGGTTTTAGTACCCACAGAGTAGAAGGTTTGCTCACCTTTTATTTTTCTCACCTTTCATGTCAGATTTGTGTAAGCTGAGCCACTTGGGATGTCTATGGTGTCAGCTGTTGTTTCTGCTAGTAATCGTGGGTCCTCTTCAATTAGGGCATGAACAAGATGATTTTTTTTTTTCTCACACATTGATGTGGTTAATCTACTATTGTGGGTTTCATCTTCAACGGTCTTGTCCCTTTTTAAAATGAGTTATCCATTTCTGAACTGCTCATTTCTTTGGGGCATTATCCCAATACACTTTTTGTAAAGTATCAACGATTTCATCATTTTTTTCACCTAAGCTTACCATAAACATGATGTTCGTTCTGCTTTAATTTTGGCAGAACTCATGTTACTCTGACAAGGGCTCTTTCTGAACTTACGGCTTATCAATCTTAGCACCTCAACCTGGACCCTATTGAGACCTGTTATAGCAAGTTAGTATGAACTTATTTTAGTATAAAATATTGTTGAAATTCATGCATAGATTTTTCATAATACACATCTTCCATGAACATTTTGAAAGGTTCCTTGTATCCTTTGCACAGATTATAGAAGACTTACTACATAAGAATTACATAATGTAGTAAGTCTTATATAATCGTGAAAATTGAGCTAAAATATATTATTTTTCCAAATAAATGGCTGAAGAAAACCAATCTGCATGCTAGGAAACATTTAACCATGTCACGACAGGATTTTGTCCTTCTAGTTTCAATGATTTTGTCTTAGAAATTAAATATTAAAACTTAGAAGAAATTCACCCTTTACTTATCAGTTAGTGTGGTTATACTGTATTCTCCCATAATGCCTAATTAGGGTGACTTGTTTTGCCTGTGCCTTAGTGGTTTCAATCTCACCCTTCCAAGTACAATCAAATGGAAAATTTTCTCCTGAACCTTCCTCTGTAAAGAAAAATGTCAATGTGGCCTAGAGCAGTTTGGCTGTGGAGTTACATTCTAAGGTGGTCCAGGCTCACACTTAGTCACTTCAGAAGCCACTTTCAAACTGTTATTCTGGACCTCAATGTAGTGATTTAGTTGCAGGAATTTAGAAAACAGTATGTAATTCTGAGGGCTGTCAATTATAGCACTTCATAGAATACTTAAAACAAACCGTTATTTATATGAAATGTTTAAAAGTCTATAACAAATGTTTTAATTTTATTTTATTTGAAGCAATATATTGTATAGTTGAATCTTTATGAGTGTGTTCATATGTAAGCATGTTGTGAAATTAGAACTTTCACTCTATAATTATTGCAGTTACCTAGTAGTCCTTGGAAACACTAAGTAACAAAAAGCTAAGTAAAAATATTTTATTTGAATAAAGATATTCATGTTTAGTATTAAATGTCTGAAAGAATTTTTAAGGAAAACTAGACATATAATCATGATTTAGATAAGGGAGAGCAAGCACTTTATTAAACCTGAGAGGTCACCCTTTCATATTCTACAAAGGTGTATAAACCAATCACATATAGTCCTAGTTTAGGTAGGCTTATAACATTATTCCTATGTAGTATAATTCAAATAGATTCTTTCCAAGGCATTCAGGCGAGATGGGTAACCAGAAACAGAGGCAAAGGATGATATTGAATATTTTGACACACCCACATTCCAATTTCAAGTTGAACCTCTTCAAAGACACAGTGATTTCCAAGCACTGTATTTTACCTGAATCAGGAAAAAGTACAGTGGAATGTAAATAATGTATACTTATTTAGAAAAACAATGTAAATACTTTATAGACTGTTCAGTAAATAATGTATATACTTAGAAAAACAAGATAAATATTTCATGGACTGCTAGGTTACTGTTAAGGTTCAGATTAAACCTCCGGGTTTAGAGAACACTGTGTTTATCAAAACTCAATTTCTTCTACCCAATAGAATTCTACCAGGTTTTGGATAAATTGCCATATACAAACTATGTATTTATGATACAGTTCAACTATAGTCACTGTATTAACTGTACATTATATTTTCTAGCCGCTGCACACTAAAATCCTGTGAACTTCACAGTTTCAGCTATGTTTTATTGTTACAAAATGTACAGAAGTGTACTTCTTGTCAAGTGCTCGTCAACCTTGCCAATCTCTTTATAGATTCATATTATATTCTTGATCGGTTAGGATTACAATCTCGGTTACCTATTTCTAATAATAATGTTTCCTGTTCTCAACCTTTAAGTCCATTATAGAAACTACTTTTATTCCTTTCTCCTAGCAAAATTGCACCATGCTTTATGTATCTATGTTGGCTAATAAGGCTTTAAAACAATCTTTTCATTTTTGCTTTCTTTTAAATCACAGCTAAAAATGTGCCTCACATTTCTCTCCTTTCATACTTTGGCAATATAGCGCATCTTTGCAGTCCCACATTTCATATTCAGTCTCTATTGTTAAATTCCTCATAAAGTGCCAGTAACTGCTCATATGTTCTAATTAATAGGCATAGAGTGAAGGCCATAACCAGCTTCACAGAGGAGAACAATGAGCTCACAGATCACAGCTGCAATCCACCAGAGGTTGGATGTGAACATTCCCTCCTCAACTGCTGAGTATTTCAAGCAGGAGGAGCAGCTGGCAGGCGAACAGAACCCACGATGCAGTAACAGTTTGTTGAAGCCATGAAAAACTGTAGATGTCAAATGCATATCAAATAGTTCTCTATACCAACTGGTTAACATTGTTTGGACCAAAAGATACTGAATATAAAAATGGAGATTTCCTAATAAATTACACTAGTGTTTAGGGGGATAAAAGAATAACTTATTGGAATGCTTAGAGTCCAAAGAGTAGTCTTAAGGTATTTGGGGTAAGAGTGGAAAGAAGTTTAAAGACTAGAATATGTGATTTGTTTTGTTATCATACTAAACTTAGATGATGCAAACTGTATCATAACATTGGCCAGTTATTTGGGGTACAGAAGAACTATGTTCCAAATTCATGGACATACATATTCCTGAAGCCAGATGGAAATCAAAGAAATGCATAATGACACTGAGCCATCACGAAGCCTATGTGTGTTTATCCTAATCTATACATATTACGTAAAAACAATTCAAAGTGTATGCTCTTGCCAGTGTCATCTCTATGTTCATGTGTTTAACAGATTTACAGTTGACTTCCTGACAAAGCTTTTGAAATTGCCCCATGAGGTGTGAATTTATAAACATGCGAATATGTTCTAAGAAATCACTGGATATAAGATATGAGAAAAAGAAAGTAAAAGTGACACAGTGATCAGAGATTAAGATGATGTTATAAGAAAATTTAAAAAATTAAAAAGTGAAAGTATGAAAAAGACTACAGAAGACAAAACAGTCATTTCAAATGTACAAGATGAACTTACATTTTAATAAATCTGTTGCTTACTGAGTAGAAATACAATATCTTAAAATTTTTATTTCTATTATTCAAACTGTCATGCACTTGAAGAGATGCTCTAATTGCTAGAGTCTAATCCAGGGTTTCCCACACACCAGAACTCAAGTTTCTAATTCAAGGCAGTCAGTGACAGACCAGGGGCAGAGCCACATCTGGAAACTAGACCTGCTGGAGGATTTTTAAACTATATTATCTGCATCTTATTGGCAAAACCGATGCACTTCGCCCATTTTTCTAAAACAAGGAAGTCAGTACTGATGTACTTAAAAGTTGCGCATTGCTTTGGAAATTGCAAAATGTTAACACACATGTGATTTCATCTGATTCTCCAAATAACCATACGAGATAGATAGGTGTTAGCTCCATTTTAGAGCTGAAGAAATTGAGATCCAGAGGGATTACATAATTTGCTTAAGGTTTCCGTCTAGAAAAAGATAGTAATGCTACTCAAGCCTAAAGCAGCTCCTTCTAACTAAAAGAATACCTTTGCTAAAATTCTAAAAGAAGAAGAAACTGCAGATGAAGCAGAAGCATACGTAGAAGGAGGAGGAGAAAGTTTGGGGAGGGAGGAAGGAGGCATAGAAGGTGAGAAGGAAGGAGAGAAGAAAGGAAGGAATGAATGAAGGAAAGAAACCAAACCAAACCAAATTCTTAGAGTGGAAAGAGAAAGTTGAGTGTCTCAGCACTCTGTACCATAAAACTCAGGGCTTGACATTTATTAAACTTTTGGGTATCAAAATAATATAGGAACTAAAGTAAAAATAAAAAACTCTTTAACCTATATTTAAGATCTAAGAATGTATTTCCAAATTATATTCCACTAAATACTAAAGGCCAGAGTAAAAACAAAACTGGAAGTTACACAGGATTTTTAATAATGACCTGAACTCAGAAAAACAATGATTTCACATCTTAAGTAGTTTTTTTTACCTGTAATCACAAGCAGGCAAATATTTAATTTCACTTTATTCCTTCTAGAACATCCACTTAAATATCTTCCTACTGCAAATCAGGCAAGCAATAAATAGGATTAGCCAGTTTTAGTTAAGCAAGACGTGTTTAAAATACAATCAGTGCTTATTTCTAAAACAGATTATTTTCTTTAAATTCTGATAATGGGAGTAAATGGGAATGTTTCCACTCATGATTTTTGCATCTGCAGCAGTAGAAGCTGGCAATGACCACAAAAGATCGGTATCCTTTTGACCCAAAAATGTCTCTGCTGGTACTCTCTGGCCCATTTAGGTGCTTGCTCTATTTGGCAAATTGTTTAGGTTAGCCACATTTGAACTAAATACATTGTGTGCAACCCTGAAAAGATGTGTGTGTGTGTGTCTGTGTGTGTGTGTCTGTGTGAAGATCCAGTATATTGTTCCATATCTACCCAATTGTATTCTGATTGTTTTCTAGTTTGAACAGCACAGATTAGAAACTGTCTCTGGCTCAATTATTAGAATTTGTTAATTAATTAAGTAAATGTTGAGAGCTGCTAATACTTTGATAAGCATTAAGCAAAATTTCCCAAAGGTTTCTCTCCAAAGAATAGTTCATGGAATCAGAAGATGTTAACAAAATCTTTGCCCATCACTTACTAACTATGCAAGTCATGTCAAATAATTGTTTCCCATCCATAAGGTGGGTTTACTGAGCATCAATTGCTGTCTGCACTGTATTGTAATTAATATAAAATGAGATGCTATTTGTGGAAACAGTCTCTAAGCAATACAATATTTGTCAATAGTCGTTTCTCTCCTGTAGTGTATGCATTTGCACCTTTATCTACCTGTCAATCAATCAGGTTTTTGCATATCACTTTATTTGTTTTGTGGAAAGAAGATTTCCTCATGCCCCTTGACATTAAGAATATCTTTGGTAGTTTCTTTTGCTGTGCAGAAGCTCTTTAGTTTAATTAGATCCCATTTGTCAATTTTGGCTTTTGTTGCCATTGCTTTTGGTGTTTTAGACATGGCACTATTCACAACAGCAAAGACTTGGAACCAATCCAAATGTCCAACAATGATAGATTTGATTAAGAAAATGTGGCACATATACACCATGGAATACTATGCAGCCATAAAAAATGATGAGTTCACATCCTTTGTAGGGACATGGATGAAATTGGAAATCATCATTCTCAGTAAACTATCGCAAGGACAAAAAACCAAACACCGCATGTTCTCACTCATAGGTGGGAATTGAACAATGAGAACACATGGACACAGGAAGGGGAACATCACACTCTGGGGACTGTTGTGGGGTGGGGGGCGGGGGGAGGGCTAGCATTAGGAGATATACCTAATGCTAAATGACGAGTTAATGGGTGCAGCACACCAGCATGGCACATGTATACATATGTAACCTGCACATTGTGCACATGTACCCTAAAACTTAAAGTATAATAAAAAATAAAATAAAAAAATAAAATAAAATAAAATAAAAGAATATCTTTGGTAGTATTTGGCATGCCAGAGCCCTCCTGCATCCTTTTTTAAGAGCTGGCCTTTCTTTCTGCTTTCAGAGTGGCTACTGCTTAAGAATTCTATCACAGCTTTTCATTGCTGTTACTGCTGATGTTAAACTCTTTTGTTTTTTGTTTTTCTCTTTTTTTAAGCCTTCTGGCTCTTTTTGTGGATGTATTGCCTTTCAAAGATCAAAGGACATAATCAAGTCAGAATAATACCCATGAATTACCTCTGATAGACAATAAGGCATTGTACACCTATAAGATAGGGTTACTTCCTATCAGAACATGCTTTGCTTCAGGACTTATGGCTTCTAAGTGATTGCTATCCATGGTCTCTTTCTGCTAGGTGCTCTGGAGCTGCCTCATTAGTCCTGAAAAGAATTTTTGAGGACAGGGGGAGGGAGACATCTTTAAATTCCCATGGCTGAGGCCTTACTCTATTATGCAGCTACACTCATGAGTTTAATGGGAATGTACATACACATATTTGTACGTATCTGTACAGACACACACACATATAGCAATGTCCATCAGCAAATGCTAGGTATAATAACCAACAAATTCATTCTTTATGCTCTCCACATGGCTTTGTTTTTTTAGGTATTGTTTCCTTAGGAGGTATTCGCCTCTGCTTTTTAAATTTAGATAAGAAATAAATTATAAGTTTGTATTCTTTGAAACATCAGTTTAGTTCATTTAGTATCTAACAAGGATTCTTTAAACTAAATGTTTAGTTATTAAAAGAAAACACAAGTGAAAAATGGATTTTGAAATTCAGTTTTGAAAACAAAAAACTTGCTGGGCACGATGGCTCACGATTTTAATCCCAGCACTTTGGGAGGCCGAGGCGGGCGGCGGATCACGAGGTCAGCAGTTCAAGACCAGTCTGGCCAACATGGTGAAACCCCATCTCTACTAAAAATACAAAAATTAGCTGGGAGTGGTGGCAGAGCCTGTAATCCCAGCTACTCGGGAGGCTGAGGCAGGAGAATCGCTTTAACCTGGGAGGCAGAGGTTGCAGTGAGCTGAGATGGCACCACTGCACTCCAGCCTGGGCGACAGAGCTAGACTCCGTCTCAGAAAAAAAAAAAAAAAAAAATTGTTGAGTATCTGAGAAATGTCAGTCAAGGACTCTACCATGAAACTACTAGGGAATAAAGGAGAGAAAACAAACAGTGAAATGGAATACACTAGATTCCATGATGGGAATACAAAAATGGACAATGATGGGAAATAAAGGAGACAGGTCAAGTTTATCTGAATGAGTGTCCCCAGAGGCATCTCAGAACATGGTATTTTTGGTTTAAATCATTAAATGAGTGTTGCCTAGGCTACCAAGAGAATGAAGAAGGTTAATTTTGTAAGAGAAAAACATAAAGCATAGGTTCTGGAATGAGAAGCAATTTGAAACCAAGCACACCTGACTATCCAGCTATATAAGTCTCTCTCTTACAGAGTTATAAAATTGTCATTGTAAGAATTGATTATAGCTATTGAGCCCTTTCAATCTGCCTAACATTCTATGTGCATTTAGAATGCCATATGAATCTTACAATCACACATGAGTTAGGCCATTCATTTATTATTTCCATTTTATAGGTGACAGAAATGAGGACAGCAATGATAATAACATGCCCAGGATTGCATAACTAGAACATTGCTGAACAAAGACTTGAAGCCATGTAGAACAAATCCAGAGCCTATACTCTTAACTACTATGCTAACTAGGAAGATAATTGCAAGTTTTTAAAATAATTATTATTATTATTACCATTATGCAATCTATTAAATTACTTAATATTCAAGACTTCTTCCTAGATAATAAATTATCATTCTCTCCACAATGAACATTTGAATAATACTTTCAAATATATATGATAAAACACTTTTCTGATTGGAAAAACTTTGCTAAGAATTACTGTGGGCTTATTTTATTGATAAATTACCACCTGAGGAAAGGCAAACACCAAAATCAGAAATGGACATCTTCTTGCATTACTTGCCAAGCTAAGTCTTTTTGAGAAAGTCAATTACATTCTCTGTACCTGTGTATGTTTCAAAAACTTTTGTTTTCCTGTGGAGAAATAAGGAATTTGGTTTCAAGAAAGGCTTGTTCAGAGCTATCATGCTTGGTGGCATTACATAAATGCACATTTTTATATATTAAATTAGAGATTGCCCCAAAGCTGCACACATTATTGATTTATCGGGAGATAGAGAAGCCGTTAGGCCATCAAGGGTATCACTAGGCACATCCCTTTCATGTAATGAAACTTACATTGGGAAAGTCAAGGATCCAAAAAGAGAAGTCTAGGTGTTGTGGCCAGGGGGAAAGACTCAGTTCAAACTGCATGTTAATTCCTGCTGAGTAAGCTATTGAAGTGGTAATACTGCAGAGGCCTTGCCTCTGGACTTCACATTTGTAGCTCTCAGCCTAGATGTTCACTACCCATCAAGGACATTATTCAGCCAGGCAGGCTGCAGCCTCTGTGCTGGCAACCTCATCTGGAGCAGAACTTTAACAGTTACAGGCTCTGAATACTAGTTGAGAAACACCAAAATGTCTTCTTTGTGCCAAACGTTTCTGTATCTTCCTTAATATTGTTTCTCTGAGCATTATTTATTTTGAATATCATTATTATCCTGGAGTTGGTTTTTTTTTAAGTCCCCAAATTATCACTTTGCTATGACTGAAAAAATAATAGAACGTTGTCTTTTCTCTAAGTGTGCAAGTCTCAAGTCAGCAGTGAATGCTTTGAAAGCAAAAACAGTAGAAAGCAAAGGCTTCTTGATCATGCTCTATATTCCAAGAATCTAAACACAGGCCACATTCTCCTTTAAATATAATTTCAAAGAAAAAGGAACTTCATTTAGCCTCTAATACCTGAATCGATGTAGTTCTTGGAAAGATTCATGGACCATACAGTAGTACTCAGAACAGAGTTTACATCTTGGCTAAAATATGTCAGGTAAACTTTAATGGGGTAAAGTCACTAGATAAAAATTCTATAATGTGATTCTCTAAAATTAAAACTCCCCAAATTTGATTATTCAATTAGCTTATTTCTGAGAAAAATAAGTATTAATATTTTAATATGCTTACTCTAAGTGAACACTCAGAAGCCCAGGAAAGGAAAAAAAAAAAGGACTAACAGATTTTGTTCCCTGTTTCTCACACAGCAGTTTGATACCAAAATCAAAGCTGGAGTCTATTTCTTATAATTTTTACAGCAGTGTTTTCACTTCTGTACATTTCAATTCCTCTCCTTCCTTTGGAGTAAACCAATCTCTGATTGCATGAAAGATCTTACAGCGTATTAGTAAGAGCACTGATACGTGAAATTCCAGGTCCAGTCTTACTCTGGTGCTTATTAGTAATCAAAAATGGCACATCACTACCTTGTAGATAATACATATGTCTCTGTATTTTTAGGTTGTTTATTTATTTGTAAATGTATGGAAATGTTTTTATAAACTCTGAAGTGTGCTGTACTTTTGAAATAATATGATTATATGAAATATTTACATCCTTTTATAGTCCCAGAGTTAGGGCAATGAGGTTTTTCTCTGATTGTCAACCTCTTTTTTCTCTAGGTTTCTGTGTAGACAAAAAGAGGACTGAAGGATTTTAGAGGTCATTATTCTTTACATTTCATACTTGGCCTTAGGGCTCCACATTAACCTTCTGGCTCATTTCTTTTTTTTTTTTTTTTTGAGACGGAGTTTCGCTGTGTCGCCCAGGCTGGAGTGCAGTGGCGCGATCTCGGCTCACTGCAAGCTCCGCCTCCCAGGTTCACGCCATTCTCCTGCCTCAGCCTCCCGAGTAGCTGGGACTACAGGCGCCCGCCACCACGCCCAGCTAATTTTTGTATTTTTAGTAGAGACGGGGTTTCACCGTGTTAGCCAGGATGGTCTCGATCTCCTGACCTCGTGATCCGCCCGTCTCGGCCTCCCAAAGTGCTGGGATTACAGGCGTGAGCCACCGCGCCCGGCCTGGCTCATTTCTTGTTCAAGAAATATTTATGTCCCTGTTAAGTAGTGAGAGATTAATAGTATAAAAAAGGAGACACAAAACAACAACAGAAGTCTTCATAAAACCAAACTTTTTATTCAGTTGTGTACAATCTTATGGAGTCTTCATATATTTTAATGGCTTATAGTAGATATAACAGAATATTAGATTTCATTTAATATTGGAATGATTAGCAAGTGACTCCATGGAGTGACTTCCCTAAGTAAGACACTGGGCCAGGTTCCACGCTGTGCTGCACAGAAATAGTTTTATAAACCATAGAAGACTGACAATCCATAAGACCGTGATACAATGGCCAAATGATGAACATGAAAATACTGTAGATGAGTTGACTTCTCAAGGTTCCCTCCAGTGCTAAAGCCCCAAGATTCCTTCTATAGTCTACAAAATATGCAAAATAGCAAAATAAAAGAATGAATGCCCTAAGGTTATCTCAGTGTTTGAAAACACAAATCGTAGATAGCAAAAGACTTTGGGGAATAGATAAAATATAGAGAGGAAAGATGAAAGAATTGGTAAGAACAAAGAAGTAGAAAGAAGGAAAACCATGGCAAGTTTAATGAAAAGGGAAAATGCTAAATATTTAAGTGACAAAAGTGGTTATAGTACAAAACAGAAAATACACATTTTAACAAGTTTTTCTAAATATCCAAAAATGACAGAAAAGGTGTGGAGAGATGATATGTTCTAACAAATCATCAATATTTTTCACAATTGTTATTTTCTTTCTAAATTCTTTAGAAAATAATGATATATTTGATGAATAAATGTAACCATCATATCTTAAAAATCTCTATATTATCAATCTACTATTTATTTAAGAGGTTCAAGTACACAATACATATTTATTCCAAACCAAACATTTAGTCATTTTACAGTATGAAGGTCTATTAGAGATCATTTCACTCAATCTTTTAACTATGCAAATAAGCAAACAGTGACACTTTGAGAACTTTATCCAAGAATCCACACATTGGCAGTGGAAGAAATACATTAAGAGTAAAAGACTTAAAACCTCTGGCTAAATCTCCTCTTTCTTTCTTTGAGTTCAGTTTCAATACATGGTTTTATTTTTAAGAGCTTTCCTTAATACGTGTGTTTTATAGAATATTACGTACCTGACTTAGAGACTAATGGAAGAGAGGCAAAAAACCAAGACAGTCCAGAAGTATCACACACACACACACGCACACACACAAACAAAAAACAGAGAAAGTAATGATCTTTCATATATTTATCACATAAACAAGGAAAGAAAATGGCTACAAGATACAAATCTTGGCATGTCAATCCAATTGAAAGACTGCCAAGATTTCTGCTTTCTTGAATTCTGTCAAGTTTCTTTTTTGCTTTCCTCTTTAGACAAAGAGCAGTATAAAACTACCACATGGAAGTGGTTACATTGTGGCAGTCCTAATCACCAGATATGTATCCTTCAAATCGTCACAAAAGAATCTCCCTGAAAGAGTCAAAGAAAGGGTCTGAGGTTATATTTGACTTTAGGCATAGGACTCAGGGCAAGTGCTTAATAAATACTGTTTCACAGTGACTTATGTTGCAGAGAGTTAAGTCAAAAGGAATTTGGGAGTTTTGAAATAAAAGTGTGTTGCAATATAAAGAAACAATATGTATTTACTTTTTAAAAAGGTGTATACAATCTGTCTTACAATATACTCTACCATGGCATTTAAATTAACAAAAGAGATTGAGTTTTAAAATGAAATATTTAATAGGAACAAAATTTTTTAAATGGGTAGTTAAGAATTCAAAGTGCAATGTTAAGTTAAATAGATTTGCAAACATTCGTGGTTCTTACAAACTCTTGGTAGTTTTGTTTTAAGTGTAGCATATGTATTTTATAAAGTATTTAAGTTTTAAACTATAAAAACCAGTGAATCACAAAGCTATATGGAGTCTATGGGGAAATTCAGTTTTATATTTTTATCCATAAGCTTGTGTTCATATTTTCTCTGCCAGCTCAGGAGTATATCAAGTCTGTGCCTGGCTGGTGAGTTTAGTATCTAATTCGTAGCAGGTGCTCAATAAATGCTAACTTCCCTTCTGTTTTTTTTTTTTAAAGTCAATTTCAAGTCAAATTCACACACAGTAAAATTTATTCCATTCATATGTACAGTTTGATAAGTTTTGTCAAATGTATGCTATCTCAAAACCATTACCAGGCTCAAAATTGGATCGATTCCATCACCCCCACCCAACCACCACAGCTTCCTCACACTCTTTGCAGCTTCTCTCCCACTCCAGCATCCTTTGTCCCAGGCAGGCATTAATTGCTTCTATCTCTATCGCTTTCCCTCTTACAGAATGTCAAATAAAGACAATCATGGAGTCTGTAGTCTTTTGTGTCTGATTTCCTTTACTTAACACAATGCTTTGGAGATTCATCCATGTGATTTGTTCCTTTTTATTGCTGAATACTAGTCCACTCTATGAAAGTACCACAATTTATTTTTCCATTCACCAGTTGACAAGCATTTTAGGTTTCTCCCAGTTTGAGGATATTATGAATACAGCTGTGATGAACATTCAATGTATAGGTCTTTGTCTAGACCTGTACAATTCTTAATGCAAGAAATTAGGGCTTAGAAAATGCTGGATACATTACAGAAAAACACTGGAGAGAAACCCAAAAGAACATTTTATATTTCTGTGTGGAGCCAGGTGTATTAGCAATGTAGTCAGAGGACACCATTCCAGAATATTCTTACTCTCTCCTTTACTTAATCATGTGATGGAAATTGTGAGGGAAATTAGAAAAGTAAAGAGACTGGCCAGAGCAGTCTTAAATCTTTTAGCCAACTGCTCTATTCACTGTAGCTTTGTCCTCTAATAATTGTGTAATAGGGAATAATGATAGCAGCAGTATAATTAGGAATAGGAAAATAACTAACATTAACATAATGATTAGTATGTGCCAAGAATTATTCTAAGTGTTTTTTCCCTATTAAATCAATTCATTCTTTTATAACCTCTTAGTAATAAATTAGTATTGTTATTATCAGTTTATAGAACTAAGACCCAGAGAAGACGAGTGCTTTGGCCAAGTTCACATGCTAGTCAGTTGCAGGCGGGCATTCAGAAACAGGTAGGCTGACTCCAGAATTAGTGTTCTTAAATCCATTCAATACCACTTTAATGAAATAACTATTTTATTAACAAATTGAGAACTTTTTAATGAGTACCATTTATGAGAGACACGAACAATTCTCACCATTAGGCAGAGCACAGGAAATAGAATCCAGCTAAGATGTGAAAACGATGTTAACTTCATCCTGTTGTCTCTAGGTATACTCGAGGAAGCTCTACCACATTTCTCTGGCATGGATACATGCAAAAGCTAAAGCTATAAATCTTCTTTCTATAGAGGAGAAAAATTCCTCTAAATGAAATTCAGAATTAAAATTTTCCTAGTTGTCTGAATAAAAATATATTTTACGAACACTACTTCCTTCTGTTTATATCCATGTAAAACTCCGTATAATATAGTCAAGAGATCAGTTACCACCAGAAAATTATTTTTATATTTAATATTAAAAAATAAGTTTACATTTCTATTTGCTTAAAAATGCAAAGGGAACAATAGATTAAGCTAGGCTTAGAGTTTTTTGCTTAAACTTAGGAAAAATTTAAATAAGACTATCAATATTATTTTATCAAACACAAAAAGAGAATGAGCAATTGAAGAAAAGTGGAAGCTGGTTTTACAAGAATCAGGAAACTCTCATATAATGAGAACTGATTCAATTCTATAGATATTTCTTATAAACAACTCATAATATCTCATCGTTAACATTTTCAATACAAAATGACAGTTGCCTTTAGTTCATGAAGGAAACTCTCTTTAATATGTTTACAATGGCTTTTATTCAGTTTATCTATTTATTACCTAGATAAGCAAATGAGCTTGGCTGGGTAAAAATTACAGCACAGTCACTACATAAAATCAATACTGCCTGTTAAGAGTTGAGTTGTGTGCCTTAAAATGATATGTTCGATATGTTCAAGTCCTAGTCCCGGAATCAAGGAAGGTGACTTCATTTGGAAATAGAGTCTTTATGGATGTCATCAAGTTAGGATGAGGCCAGTAGATTGGGCCCTAATACAACATGACTGCTGTTCCTACTGTATAAAAATGGGGAAATTTGGGCACACACACAAAAGTGGAGACGCAGAGGGTGAAGACACAGATGCATGGGTCAGATGGCCATGTGAAGACAGAGGCAGGATTCGAAGAGATGCTGATGCACCTAAGGAATCCTGGGGTCTCCAGAAACTGGAAAACAGAAGGAAGTTTCCTCCCTGAGCAGCTTCAGAGGGAGAACGTCCCATCAACATCTTGATGTTGGACTTCTAGCCTTGGGAACTGCAAAACAATAAATTGCTCTTGTTTTAAGCCCCTCCGTTTGTGGTACTTTGTTATGGAAGCCCTTGGAGACTGTAGAATGACAAATAACATGATGGATATCAAAGGTTTTAAAGAAACATTCTAAAATCCCTGCTGCTTCATACTAGTGATCATTTAAGTGATCATCAACATAGCAATCGTCTAGATAAGTTCAGCAATATTGTTATAAAGAGTCAGCCAAGCAGCAGGGCATCACATAAGAGTCACATTCTTTTGAAGGAAAGGCAAGTGTTTTGATTTCTGGATCTCTTATTGGATTTACATTAAGGTCCTTGATTTTCCAATTTTCTATAACATGAATTGTCTTGTCTGATCTGTGCTGACATCGTTTGCTCATTCCAAGGTTATACACCACTCGATTGTGTCGAATGAAGGTGGAATTGAAGTTGTATGCAGGAGAAAATCATTTACTAATGAACAAAGAAGTTGAAGAGGTTGTAAGAGAAAAAAATTTCCCATCAAAATCTTTACTTTGCCCTTTTACTTAAAGAGTTGGAGGAAACAGTCATGTCCTGAGGGTTGTCCAATACCTGATGAAAGTAAAGAAGGTGAATATCAACATTATCCACTAAGGCCCCTGTGCATGTACTTAAAACGCTGTTGGTAGAATTTCTGAATATCTAAAATATTCCATTCAGCAATCACTATATGTGAAAAAAAGCAGTCATTGTATTTATGTTCAATATTCTGTGGCTTATTAACTTGGCATCACTCATCTCTACCTTTCCCTCTGCCCAAACTTAGAATCCCAATGGAATAGGCACCTTCAGATTCTAACAATCAATAGCAGGTTTTAAATATACTATAGTAATAAACTTGGAAAGCACATCATCAGATTGGCTAATTCGGGGAGACTATTTTACTTGCAGATGAGCTAGATTCAATTTGTTACCTGCCAAGTGCAGCAGCTCAATACTGGGCTGGTTATTCAAGGATCAGGGGTAAAGTGGCGCTAAATGAGCCGAGCTGTCAACACATTCTCTCACTGCAACATCATCAGCCTTTCCTGGCTTGAACCCTCTTATCCCAAGTCCATACGCACATCGTTCTTCCATCTGCTAGCACGGCAGGTTGATGTTACAACAAACCAATTCCACCCCATGTATTGATTTACACTCTGTTTCTCTAGATATCAATCTCAGTTAAATCTCTCCTTCTGCCTTTTTATCTTCAGTTTGGGCTTAGGTCCTTTTATTTGTTATTTTTATGAAAAGAAAAATTTAAAGGAGCAGGAAGAGAAATCACTTGAAAATATGTGTTTGAATATGCAAAACACAGCTAGTTTTTAAGTGAACACATTTTTTAAGTTGACATAGCTAACAATAAAACGACTTACTTTTTATTCAATGCCTTCATGTAACTTTCCGTACATGGACGGAAGCTCTAAGTGGAGAATAGATTCCATGGTGGAGATTAAACCTGAGCTGACAAACTAGAACTACTGGAATCATTGGGTATGTCATTTTCCCCATGCACAATACTCTGCAACGATATAATAACACAGGCACCCACTGACATGAGATTTCTGTAGCACCTGGACTCAAAGCTGTAAGACAGAGGTAGTAATGACAGTTCCATGATTATTCCCTTTCTGGTCAATTTCAATCAGTTCCTTAATGTGACTTTAATGATGTTTTTTAGTGTTCATTTATTTTTATTTTTTTAACATTATACCAATAGCAGTTCCCTTCAACCACTGTGATTTTTTCATTAGGATGATTATAATGGAAGATGACTCTCAGCGGAAATGTATGAGACACTCTTGTTATCCATGCACCATTGTCACTATACACTAATTGCTCCAGTCTGTCATGTGAATGAGTATTTAAGGAGATTTGAATCCCTGAACCACCACATTCATTGTAATTCTGTATGCTAAAGATCCTTATGAAATTACAGTGATAAAATTGGTAGCATTGCACACATGCCCAGATCTCCTAAATTTAAGCATAGTTAAAGCATTTGGATGCATTTTAATTTGTAAATAATTGCTTTTACAATAACTTGATGTGTGCTAAGTTAGAGTTTGGAGTAAACTTTCCAGTTAAACTTTCATGAATACAGCTAAAGAGAGGACTGAATTCTTTGGTTGATTTCTGGCTCTCATTTGCAAACCATGCTTCAATTAAGCTCCTAGTATGGGTAGAGAGATATGAGTAATGTCCAGCTATCACAGTTCCCTGCTCCTATGAGAAAGATGTCAAATGCACCGAACCCATCAAGATAGAGATTTAGGTCATTAACTCAACCACAGATTGGAAAGCATTTCAAAAAGTGGGTCAGTTTGTCAAAGGTACAAACACGACATGACAGAGTCATTTCTAAAACTGAAGTGCACAATTACAAATCACATCAAAAGTAATCAATGCAGTTCATTATAAAATCTGCTGTTTAGGGCAACTACGGCAAAGTTCAAAGGAAAAGGTATACTTGTCTCTATCTAGGGATGACTAAAAGGTTAGAATGATAAGATGACAACATTATCAAAGAGTTGTAAATATATGACATACTGTGTTGGCATTTTAAAAGTTTTTTTTTTTTTTTCAGCGCAGCACTTTCATCACCAAAGCAATGGATTTTAAAAAGACTGTATTAATTAGATGCAAATGGCTGCAAGGGAAACAGAACCTTTTAGTTTTTGAGAACCAGAGTTTAAATCTGATATATTGTAGGGTATGATATGGAAACCATATTGTCAGTTGCAAGTAGTGAATTTGATGTACAATTTCTCAAAGAAAGGTCATTTGAGTCATCATGATTGCAATTGTTTTGAAGCAACTATGAAGCTGCTGGTGCTAAATAGTTGAGATGATTGGACTTCAAGCATTGAAACATACAAATGCAATGAAGAATGAGTGCCAAAAGACAGAAAATATACAAATGGAAGCAGAGTGAAGTTCCAAATTCACCTTGAATGAATGACTGATTAATTGTGAAGACAATCAAATGAAATCATTCTATAACTATCTTAACCAAGAGTTTAAGCAAGGACGATTTTTAACTTTTAGATCTACTTTAGATAAGTTGATAATTATTTGCATATGTTAAAGTCTATTGTTTTGGGAATAGCTTGAGTGGAAAGAACTCAAACTCACCTTGAGTTCTGTGGATAAATGAAGAGACACATCAGGATGAATTTGAAGTGTCATTTCTTCCACTTTTCAGCAGTTTATCAGAGACAGCAGGTCAGAGTTAGCTTAAGGAAGCAGAGTCAATTGCTAAACCCTGGTCTATGAATGCCTTACCAGCAAGGCCTAGCCTTCCAGAATACGAAAATTCTATGGCTGTATAGTTACATCAAAAATTTCTATGTTACAGTAGGTAGCAAGTCAGGCATGAGCAGGGCAGGAAAGAGCCCCCCCACCACACCCCCACCAGGAATGTCAGGCGACCATCAGGTGATGGTCAGGCAGTTTTTAAGCTGTTTCTCTAAAATAAAAATTGGTCACAGCCAGCACCAGGGAAAGGCAGTCTCCCAATAGATAGAAAAAAACCTGAAACCTCTGATTAGCAGCTTCCCGATAAAATCTCAGGAGTTAGTTGAGTGAGCTCAAGCATGCCCATGAAGAGGCAAAATGGCGGAGTTTAACTGGTGTCTGACCTTCTTCTAGGAATGCTGGATTGTTGGGGAAGAATGCCTCAAGTGAGCATGCATACAACTCCAGTAAACACACTGAGCACGTGCCCCTCCAAGCGCTGGCAGGCCACTGTGCATACATAATGCCAGCCTATAAGACCCCAAGTCAAAGGTCCAACCACACAAGAACAGAAATCACAACAAACAGTCTCTCAGACCACAGTGCAATGAGATTAGAACTCAGGATTAAGAAACTCACTCAAAACTGCACAACTACATGGAGACTGAACAACCTGCTCCTGAATGACTACTGGGTAAATAACGAAATGAAGGCAGAAATAAAGATGATCTTTGAAACCAATGAGAACAAAGACACAACATACCAGAATCTCTGGGACACATTTAAAGCAGTGTGTAGAGGGAAATTTATAGCACTAAATGTCCACAAGAGAAAGCAGAAAAGATCTGAAATTGACACCCTAACAACGAAATTAACAGAACTAGAGAAGAAAGAGCAAACAAGTTCAAAAGCTAGCAGAAGACAAGAAATTACTAAGATCAGAGCAGAACAGAAGGAGATAGAGACAGGAAAACCCTTCAAAAAATCAATAAATCCAGGAGCTAGTTTTCTGAAAAGATTAACAAAATAGATAGACTGCTAGCCAGACTAATAAGAAAGAAAAGAGAGAAGAATCAAATAGAAGCAATAAAAAATGATAAAGGGGATATCACCACCGATCCCACAGAAATACAAACTACCATCAGAAAATACTATAAACACCTCTACACAAATAAACTAGGAAACCTAGAAGAAATGGATGAATTCCTGGACAAATACACCCTCCCAAGACTAAACCAGGAGAAAGTTGAATCCCTGAATAAACCAATAACAAGTTCTGAAATTGAGGCAGTAATTAATAGCCTACCAACCAAAAGAAGTCCAGGACCAGATGGATTCACAGCCAAATTCTACCAGAGGTACAAATAGGAGCTGGTACCATTCCTTTTAAAACTATTCCAATCAATAGAAAAAGAGGGAAATCTTTCCTAACTATTTTATGAGGCCTGCATCATCCTGGCAGAGACACAAAACCTGGCAGAAACACAACAAAAAAAGAAAATTTCAGGCCAATATTCCTGATGAACACCAATGAGAAAATCCTCAATAAAATACTGGCACACTGAAACCAGCAGTACATCAAAAAGTTTATTCACCACAATCAAGTTGGCTTCATCCCAGGTATGCAAGGCTGGTTCAACAAACGGAAATCAATAAATGTAATCCATCACATAAACAGAAATAATAAAAAAAAACATGATTATCTCAATAGATGCAGAAAAGGCCTTTGACAAAATTCAACAGCCCTTCATGCTAAAAACTCTCGATAAACTAGGTATTGATGGAATGTATCTCAAAATAATAAGAGCTATTTATGACAAATTCACAGCCAATATCATACTGAACAGGCAAAAACTGGAAGCATTCCCTTTGAAAACTTGCACAAGACAAGGACGCCCTCTCTCTCACCACTCCTATTCAACATAATATTGGAAGTTCTGGCCAGGGCAATCAGGCAAGAGAAAGAAATAAAGGGTATTCAATTAGGAAAAGAGGAAGTCAAATTGTCACTGTTTGCAGATGACATGATTGTATATTTAGAAAACCCCATTGTCTCAGCCCAAAATCTCCTTAAGCTGATAAGCTACTTCAGCAAAGTCTCAGGATACAAAATCAATGTGCAAAAATCACAAACATTCGTATACACCAACAACAGACAAACAGAGAGCCAAATCATGAGTGAACTCCCATACACAATTGCTTCAAAGAGAATAAAATACCTAGGAATACAACTTACAAGGGATGTGAAGGGCCTCTTCAAGGAGACCTACAAATGACTGCTCAAGGAAGTAAGAGACGACACAAACAAATGGAAAAACATTCCATGCTCATGGATAGGAAGAATCAATATCATGAAATGGCCATACTGCTCAAAGTAATTTATAGATTCAATGCTATCTCCATCAAGCTACAATTGACTTCCTTCACAGAATTGGAAAAAACTACTTTAAATTGCATATGAAACAAAAAAAGAGCCTGCATAGCCAAGACAATCCTAAGCAGAAAGAACAGAGCTGGAGGCATCATGCTACCTGACTTCAAACTATACTACAAGGCTGCAGTAACCAAAACAGCATGGTACTGGTACCAAAACAGATATACAGACCAATGGAACAGAACAGAGGCCTCAGAAATAACACCACACATCTAGAACCATCTGATCTTTGACAAAACTGACAAAAGCAAGCAATGGGGAAAGCATTCCTTATTCAATAAATGGTGTTGGGAAAGCTGCCTAGCCATATGCAGAAAGCTGAAACTTGATCCCTTCCCTACACCTTATACAAAAATTAACTCAAGGTGGATTAAAGACTTAAATGTAGTACCTAAAACCATAAAAACCCTAGTAGAAAACCTAGGCAATGCCATTCAGTACATAGGCATAGGCAAACACTTCATTACTAAAACGCCAAAAACAATGGCAACAAAAGCCAAAATTGACAAATGGGATCTAATTAAACAAAAGAACTTCTGCACAGCAAAATAAACTATCATCAGAGTGAACAGGCAACCTACACAATGGGTGAAAATTTTTGCAAACTATCCACCTCACAAAGGGCTAGTATCTAGAATCTACAAAGAACTTAAACAAATTTACAAGAAAAAAAAACCCCATCAAAAAGTAGGCGAAGGATATGAATAGTCATTTCTCAAAAGGAGACATTTATGTGGCCAAGAAGCACATGAAAAAAAGCTAATCATCACTGCTCATTAGAGAAATGCAAATCAAAACCACAATGAGATACCTTCTTACTCTAGTTAGAATGGTGATCATTAAAGAGTCAGGAAACAACAGATGCTGGAGAGGATTTGGAGAAATAGGAATGCTTTTACACTGTTGCTGCGAGTGTAAATTAGTTCAACCATTGTGGAGGACAGTGTGGCAATTCCTCAAGGATCTAGAACTAGAAATACCATTTGACCCAGCGAGCCCATTACTGGGTATATACCCAGAGAATTATAAATCATTCTACTATAAAGACACATGCAAACGTATGTTTATTGTGGCACTGTTCACAATAGCAAAGACCTGGAACCAGATCAAATGCCTATCAATGACAGACATATGGCACACATACACCATAGAATACTACGCAGCCACAAAAGAGGATGAGTTCATGTCCCTTGCAGGGACATGGATGAAGCTGGAAACCATCATTCTCAGCAAAATAACACAAGAACAGAAAACCAAACACTGAATGTTCTCACTCATAGGTGGGAGTTGAACAATGAGAACACATGGACACGGGGAGGGGGTATCACACACTGGAGGCTGTTGAGGGGTGGGGGTTTAGGGGAGGGAGAGCATTAGGAGAAATTCCTAATGTAGATTATGGGTTGATGGGTGCAGCAAACCACCATGGCATGTGTATACCGATGTAACAAACCTGTATGTTCTGCACATGTACGTCAGAACTGGAAGTATAATCATAATAATAAAAAAGTCCAACCACACACTTGATCTTGCAAGGCACTGCTTGGCCCTCTTCCAAGTGTACTTTACTTCCTTTCGTTCCTGCCCTAAAATTTTTAAATAAACTTTCACTCCTGCTTTGAAACTTACCTCCATCTCTCATTCTGCCTTATGCTCCTTGGTCAAATTCTTTCTTCTGAGGAGGCAAAAATTGAGGTTGCTGTAGACTCATACAGCTTTCCCACTTCTAACATACTTTTGTGCACTGCTCACTTCCACAAAGCAAACTTTGGAGTAGAACCTCTTTCTCCACTGGCCACTGACCACCTGATATGCAAGGTTTAGGCCCAGCCTAACACCTTTCTTCATTAAATAACATGGTCTCAAGGAAGTGTGTTTACTTCGCTACACCTCTGCTATTTCCCCAATACCTCTTATTTTACATATTTATCTTGTGTACAGTTTGTGTGTGTCTGTGTGTGTGTGTGTGTGTGTATTCTCTCTGCAGGGCAAAATTTAACCATTTCTTCATCCTCTGACGCTAGGCTACTGACATATGAAAACATCAATACTTCAATGTAAGTGTAGACATGTTTAATCCAACTCTGCTTAATCGCTTATAGGCTCTTTTCCTCATTGCTTAAAAGTGGATCTAAAACGGCAAGCGTCATGAATTCTCAGAATGACACTATAGCAATTTTTGTTTCTGACATTCTCTCTCCTCTAGAGTTCTTCAATAACCTGAGGGATGTTGATCGCAAGCTGTTGGAAGTGAAAAACCCATCTGTAATGAGAGAGAATAAAGAGGAAGAAAAGAGAAAAGACTTTGATGATTCCTGGATTCAGTTTTCTCCAAAGTTCGTTTCTCTCCTGCACTTTCTGTTTGTTATTTAAGCCAAAGAGGTGTGATGAAAATGGGGATATGCAAGAATGCTTGAGATGCGTCCTGCAAGAGGAGTAGATGTCCAAGTCTTTGTGCCACGTATGTGTAGGTTGGGAATGGCGAGGGCCAGAGGGGGAAACAGCAGTGGTCCTGGGATGGGAGAGAAATTTGGCACCAAAATGCGGGGAGGAACATGTGCAAAGGGAGCCACGGGGAAAGGCGCGCCGCATTCAAAGAACCACATATAATTCATTCAGTGGGACTTAGGCATTGGGAGGTGGGATCTACGGGGTAGGAAAAAATAATGGGTGGAAGATTGCTTACTATGCACCAACACTGCTCTTAGCATATACATATATTAGGTTCATTTTCTCTAATCATAGCAACACTATGAAACAGGCACTATTATGGTCCCTCTGTTTGGGATATTCCGAGGGGTATGACTCAGTAACTGCATAAATAGAGTCAAGACAGAGGTGCATCTGCTTTTTAATAAGCTCCACTGTTGTGGGATTTAAATTAGACAGAAGTTTATGTAATTTCATTTTTAAAAGCACTATAGAAAGGGTGCATTTGTTTAAAAATAAATAACAGCAATTATGATGGGAAAGATGCTTACTCTTGTTTTTCTTCTCCATCCCTCTCTTCCACGCCCACTGCATGGGCACCCTGCATGAAAAAATCCTTCCACAGTTAGACAATGTATCCAGCTTTTCATCATGTTTAACTAATAATGAGATTATTCAAAATAAAAATTGCTTTTATAGAATTCTACATTAAATTTTTAAACATTTTACTCACTCAGGGGAATTATATAATGTCACATATCCGTACATTTCCTTATAATGATTAATAGTCTGGATACAAACTTAAAACTTAAAAATAAAAATATTAAAAGTTAAAATTAAATAATTGTTTAGTGGAAACAACTCATTTGATGAAAGATATTTCTTAAACCTCTGCAGCATGAACTGTCCTTTGGAGGATAAGTGAAGCTTCCTACTAATGTTCATTCTATAGGTGTTTGTGAAACTTACCAAATATTCAAAGTGCAAACACACACATCTTTGCTCTATCAATATTTATAGCCTGAAAACACATTATTGTTGCAAATATGTCAAGACAATGAAAAATATCCATTTACAATGAGGATATATAACAAAGGGCAGTTGAGCAATATAATTTATTTCTATCATTTATTGAATGACTCATAAGTAATAAGAAATGAAGCTACAAGTAAGTTATGAAGGTCATCTCCTCTCAAGTATGAAAATACGTAAATTGTTTATATCGTTATCTGCTGCAAAACATTCTTTCCATTGAGGATTCTGAAAATTATAAGCCAGATGTCTGGACTCTATACTGTGAAAGTGCCCCAAATTGGCTTTCAATAGGACTTGGCCATGTGCAGATTCCTCTATGCTTCACAGAAAATACAGACATGGCTTGGCTAAATGTCTGTGCTTTTCTTAAAGTTATATTAATGTTATTTGACCCAGCTACAGATGGAGTCAGTCTCTGATATAAAACAGGTCAGATCCCAGGAGCTATTATTATGATAGAGGATGCCATTTTGTTATTATCATTTTACATATACTTTAAGTATTTAAGAAATTTTAGGCATAATCTTAGGAATACTATGTGTGTTCCTTTTAAAAAGATTCTCACAAAAGCATTAATGTTCCATTTTAACACTTGAAGAAAACATAGGCTCAGAATGGGTTCTGCCATTCAACCTGCCAAAAGTCCCAGAGCTAGGACGCAGTTTAAATTCCTGGATTTGTCTACATTCACCTGCATTATGGTTTCTCTAAAAAAGAAGTAATAATAAAAATCACTAACACCTTTGAACATTATAAGCATTTTACATGAATTGTTACATTTAATCCTTTCAACTATCCATTTAAGTAGGTAATTAATAAGCATATTTTACATATGAGATGACTGAGGCTTGGGGAAGCTAAGAAATTCTTCATACGTGGCAAAGATGGACTTTGAAATTAGATATCCTTTATTCTAGAGCCTGCAATTTTTAAACAATGCATTGCAGAGAGAGCAACATTGTTATCCAGGCCAGGGTTTCTCAACTATTAATGGGCCACAGATCACCTTGGTATATTATTAACATGCAGATTCTTGTCCCATAGGTTTGGGGTGGGTCCTGAGAATCTGCAGTTTCAACACACTCCCAAGTGATGCCAATGACCCAGGTTGAAGGGGTGGCCTGCCCCTCCACACCTGTGGGTGTTTCTCGTCGGGTGGGACAAGAGACTGACATAAGAAAGAGACACAGAGAAAAAGTATAGAGAAAGAAAAATGAGCCCAGGGGACAGGCGCTCAGCATACAGAGGACCTGCGCCAGCACCAGTCTCTGAGTTCCCTCAGTATTTATTGATCATTATCTCTACCATCTCAGAGAAGTGGATGTGGCAGGACAATAGGGTAGTAGTGGGGAGAGGGTCAGCAGCTAAAACATGTGAACAAATGTCTCTGCGTCATAAACAAGGTTAAGAAAAAGGTGTTGTGCTTTGATGTGCACATATATAAACATCTCAGTGCATTAAAGAGCAGTATTGCTGCCAGCATGTCTCACCTCCAGCCCTAAGGCGGTTTTCTCCTATCTCAGTAGATGGAATATACAATCCGGTTTTACACTGAGACATTCCCTTGCCCAGGGACGAGCAGCAGGAGACAGATGCCTTCCTCTTATCTCAACTGCAAAGAGGACTTCCTCTTTTACTAATCCTCCTCAGCACAGACCCTTTAGGGGTGTCGGGCTGGGGGATGGTCAGGTCTTTCCCTTCCCACGAGGCCATATTTCAGACTATCACATGGGGAGAAACCTTGGACAATACCTGGCTTTCCTAGGCAGAGGTCCCTGCAGCCTTCCACAGTGTTTTGTGTCCCTGGGTACTTGAGATTAGGGAGTGGTTGTGACTTTTAACAAGCATGCTGACTCCAAGCATTTGTTTAGCAAAGCGCATCCTGCATAACCTTAAATCCATTAAACCTTGAGTCCACACAGCACATGTTTCTGCACAGGGTTGGGGGTAGGGTTACAGATTAACAGCATCTCAAGGCAGAAGAATTTTTCTTAGTACAGAACAAAATGGAGTCTCTTATGTCTACTTCTTTCTGCATAGACACAGTAACAGTCTGATCTCTCTTGCTTTTCCCCACACCAGGTCACCTACTATTTATCACCGGATGGTTTTTAATACCTATCAATGACTTAGAGATGTTTTTCCCTCTAATTTCATTTTCAAGTAAGCTTTTACTTTCCTTTCTCTCTCTCACTCTCTTTCTCCTCTCTCTCTCTCAATCTCTCTCTGTCTCTCTCTCATTTACCAGTTTATGCCTTTTCTTCTCCTACACTAACACCTAAATCATTTGAGTGAAAATTTTTCACTTGAACAAATGATATTGAGGAATAAGTGAGTACTTCCATATTTGATTGTATGTAATTGTGATTGTTCACTAATGCAATCTGAGTGGAGAAGGCCCCGGAAGAGGCCCACACACTAATCTCTGCAACCTGTAAATATGTCCAGTTCCATGGCAAAGGAGAATTAAGTTTGCAGATAAAGTTAAGAATAATTATCGGCTGACTTTGAGATGGGGAGAAGATCCTGGATTATCCAGGTGGGTATAATATATTCAGGAGGGTCCTTATTAGGGAAAGAGGGAGGAAGAGAGAGAGAGAACAAGAGGGAGGCAGGGTGGAAAGATCACAGCCTCCTCTTGCTGGCTTTGAAGATGGTGGGAGAGAAATGCAAGCATGAAATGCAGGTGGCTTCGAGAAGCTAGAAAAGCAAGGTTGTGATTCTTCCCAAGAGCCACCCCAGGGAATGTAGCCCTGCTGACATATTGATTTTAGCTAAATGTATCCATTTCAGACTTCTGAGATCCCTCCAAAATAATAAGATAATAAATTCTTCTTGTTAAATGTACTAACTTGTGATAATTTTTATAGCATTAATAGAAAACAAAACTCTAAGGTATTACACAGTCTAGAATTGACCTTAGTGAAAGCTGTACGATTCAAGTGACTCAGGTCTCTCTACAAGGCATGCATATCATTTGTATGCAGGAAAAAAAAATGCATTCACAAAGATTCCTATCTGATCATAAATAATAATCTTTTTTTAAAATGAGAATTACCACTGTCAGCTAGATGACACACTTTTAACTTTCTCCATCATGTCAACAAAACACAAAATAAAATATATTTAAAGTAGAGTAATATTAAAATATATATATTTAAAATAGAATATATATACTCTGTGTTCTATTTATATATTGCCTATATAGATATATATTTAATGGATATCACTGGGTTAAAATCAATATGTCAGCATAACTGCATTCCTTAGGGTGGCTCTTGAGAAGAATCACAACCTTAACTTTTCTAGCTTCTAGAAGCCACCTGCATTTCATGCTTGCATCTCTCTCCTAACATCTTCAAAGCCAGCAAGAGGAGGTTGTGATCTTTCCACCCTGCCTCCCTCTTGTTCTCTCTCTCTCTTCCTCCCTCTTTCCCCAATAAGGACTCTCCTGAATACATTAGACCCACTTGGATAATCTAGGTTCTTCTCTCAATCTCAAAGTCAGCTGATTATTATCCTTAACTTTATCTGCAAACTTAATCTTCCTTTGCCAGGTAACCTATATTTATATATAAGGGCAACAGTAAAGGGAAAGAAACAAAGAGTGTATTGTAAGCATAAAATCAGATTGAGAGTCAATTGACTCTCAGGAGAGATATGGCTAACACTAAGCTTTGTTGTCTTCGCCACTGAATTGCACATATAACGCTTGGAAAATTACTGTGTTTTTCTGCCTCATGTACTCCCTTTCCTGGAACCCAGGAGGAATCAATCCATCCTTACCCCATATGAGGAATTGGAACAAGGTGAAATGGATATAATAAGGCTTGTACTTACTAAATTTTGTACAGAATGTTCCTGCTCAATGGAGTCAGGTATTTACAATCTCTTGTCACCCTAAATTAACAAAACGCTATCTTTACATTTCAACTTTGCCATTTTAAATTTTAAAGGGCAAATTGTGTTTCCCTTGTGACCTAATCATTTTATATTTTTGTAGAGACGAGATCTGGCTATGTTGCGCAGGCTGGTCTCTAACTTCAGGCGTCAAGCAATCCTCCCACCTCACCCTCCCAAAATGCTGGAATTAAAGGTGTGAGCCACCACAGGTGACCCTAATACTTAGATATAAGTTCAGGAGAAGCCTGACTCTCCTCACTTATCTAATGGGTCTGAGTTCAGGACACCATTTAATGTAACACATGGACACAGTGAATAACCTCACTCTTTGTTGTCTTGATTGAGACCTAGGGTCTCTTAATGCAACACTGGTATTTTTTCTCTTTTTAAAATTCCATGCAGATGAGTAGATGAGAGGATTCTCACCCTGCCCCCCCACCTCTCTTTCCCTTCTTCCTTTCTTCTCACGCAGATATATTTTACTAGGCAAAGCATTCCATGACATTTTATTAATTATAACAAACAGCTTTTTTATATCTAATTTTTATTGTCATACTTACATTTATCTATCAAATGTTGGAATACTATAGAAAGAGGTTACAATACAGAATTTTGACATTACTAGTTACTTAGCCCCAATAGCATCATAATAATACAAAAACTCAATTTAAATCATAATATTATGGAGCATTTTACAGCCGTTAACACTTAAAATATTTTTAATGTGTGTGTTATCATAATGGATATCATGCCACCAGATAACTTAACCATTATTTAGTGGTGAACGGAATCACATACATGTCAAACAACAATAAAAATTGACAGTAGTATGAACGATTATCTTCTCTAAGTTATTTTGAAGTATATACATGCTCTATTCTGTCAGTAACTTCTCTGAACATTTCCCAGCCTTAAGATTTTCTTGACTGATCCCTTACCCTCAATTCAATATCTGTGATTAAATTGACCCTTTTGATCAGTTTCAGGCTTGTGTTCAAGCTAACAACTGTGTGTGTCAGTCGCCAGGTTTCCAAGTTCAAAGTCATTCTCCCAACTCAGCTCACAATCATGTCCTGCTTTGTTTTAAACTTGCACTAGACTTAATGCCATTTGATATTAGGTTAAGTGTGTGAAGACTGAATAAAGGCTAGTAAAATTGAGTTTTTTGATGCTATTGTAGGATGAAATATTCCAGGTAGTATGGAAGGACAGAAATACACAGCGTCACCTATGGATATAGCAACAAAATTTGGCTTGCAGCTTCCAAGAGAGTTAATGGAAGAGAAATAATAGAAAAGCCAGTAGACAAGAACAGAACTTAATTTTCCTGTGCAGGTAAGTAGTTATAATGTATATGTGTGTACTACTTACATGCCCCCTTGTAGATTGGCAAATAGACTAAAAACC
Source organism: Homo sapiens (assembly GCF_000001405.40). Classification (NCBI taxonomy): domain Eukaryota; kingdom Metazoa; phylum Chordata; class Mammalia; order Primates; family Hominidae; genus Homo; species Homo sapiens. The sequence goes on from NC_000004.12 coordinate 179,557,373, forward strand.
AAAAATCCATCTTATTGCATTGATAATATATACTATACAGCTTTTACACTATTTTGCTGAGTCTAAACTTAGGTAAGAAAATGTTACCTTGGGGAAAGTAGCTAGATATATATATATATAAGTAGCGGTACTGATGTCATCTATATCAGGGAAGACAGGGTAGCTGCATGTGGGAAAGTAGACAAGCTCCTAGCTCAACTTTCCTTGGAGTCTTGTAACATTTGCAAAAATTTCTCCCTGGAAAAATTGACTACTGATACATACATTTCCACCATTCCTTTTATAAAGAAAACACACGTTACTTGACAATTATAAAATTAACTAGAATTATAGAAATTTATTTCATTATATAGTCAGACCATCTAAGGCAATTTTGATAATTTGTTTACACTAACTTCATATATTTTGAAAAATGGTGTAGAACTATATCTGAAGATAAAACATTTTTCTCTTCCACATCTCTACATCTGCCTATAATTTTATATCAGTTAGCAAATTCAGATCTCAAAATTAAGGTGTGAGAATCAAGTTAACCCTTAAACCACACAGGGGTTAGGGACACCAACCCCTGCACAGTCAACAATCCACATGTAACTTTTGACTTCCCCAAAACCTTACAAATGGCCTACTCTTGACCAGAAGCCTTACTAATAACATAGGCAGTGGATTAGCATGTATTTTGTATGTTATATGTATTATATACTGTATCCCTGCAGCAAAGTAAGCTTGGGAAAAGAAAATGTTATTAAGTAAATCATAAGGAAGAGAAAATATATTTACTATTTATTAAGTGGAAGTGAATCATCACAAAGATCTACATCCTTGTCATCTTCATGTTGAGTAGGCTGAGGAAGAAGAGAAGGAGTTGATCTTGCTGTCTCAGGAGTGCAGAGGCAGAAGTGAACCTGAGAATTTCAAACCCATGTTGTTCAAGGGTCAGCTAAATTGCATTTCTTTAGGTTTAAAAAATACACATTATCGATAATCAAAGCCACTGTCTGCCTTCTACACCCCACCGGGATTGTAAAATGGCCATATGGAGTTACGTTTCATTGGTTGGGGGTGAGGGGCTTTGTTCTTTGGTTGTTAGTGTGGCCCTTAAAGTCTTCTTCCATGACACCTCGGGATCCAGGGCTCTTGGATGAGGCTGGATATTCCTTTTTCTAATTGGATCTGAGTGTCTGTCCCTCCATTTCTATCTAAAGTCTTGTCTTATTTTCTCCTACCTCTATGAGGAAGCAGAGACAGATCCTGGAAGACATTCCTCTGTCTTGTCTCTTGAAATACAATAGCTGTCTTTCCATTTCATTGACCTCAAATATTTTCTTCTGCACTTCTCTTTAGACCCATTTAGCTTCATTGTCTCTTTGGGATTTGGCTTTTACAAAATAGTGGTGTCTTAATGAGTTTGGGCTGCTGTAACAGAATACCACAGCCTGGATGGATTAACCAGCAAAGATTTATTTCTCACAGTCAGGAGGCTGAAGGTCTGAGATCAGGATGCCAGCATGGTGGGGTTCCTGATGAAGGCCCTCTTCCTGGTGATGTCCTCACATGACTTTCCTTGGTATATGGATGCAGAGGAAAAGACAGATCCCTTGACTTCTCTTTTTTAAAAAAATTCATTTTTTAATGGAGGTAAAATATATATTTACGGCCAGGTACGGTGGCTCATGCTTGTAATCCCAGCACTTTAGGAGTCTGAGGCAAATAGATCACCCGAGGTTAGGAGTTCGAGACCAGCCTGGCCAACATGGCGAAACCCCATCTCTACTAAAAATACAAAATTAGCTGGGTGTGGTGGTGTGCACCTGTGATCCCAACTACTCAGGAAGCTGAGGCAGGAGAATCACTTGAACCTGGGAAGCAGAGGTTGCAGTGAGCCGAGATTGTGCCACTGCACTTCAACCCGGGTGACAGAGAGAGACTCCGTCACAAAAAAGAAAAAAAAAAAAAAAAAAAAAATATATATATATATATATATATATATATATATATATACACATTTACTCTTACCATCTTTACTATTTTCAAGTGTACAATTCAGTTGTAATAAATCTCCTCTTTTACTGAGGGCATTAATTCCATAATGAGGGTTCCAACTTCATAACTGAATCTAACCCTAATTGGCTTCCAAGGTCCTCATCTCCAAATACCATCACAATGGAGATTAGAGTGTCAACCTGTAAACTTGGAGAGGACACAAACATTCAGTCCACAGCAGAGGCCAAACCTTGACTTTGGACTGCAACTCCATTCTGCCCGCACCCCCCCAAAAATAATTCTCTGAAGCAATGAAGCCTAAAACCAACTATAATTTGTAGAACACTGGAGAGGACAATACAAAGACCAAAGAAACAAATTACCATTTTAATAAATTACTCTGTAACCATTTTAGCTTCATAAACTTTTTGAAGTAGATGTTATCTGGATATACATTTAATACAAAATGGGCATGATTAATAGAGAAATTTCAAATTTTAATTCACACACCAGTCAGCAGGAAGTCCTTCAAAAAAATTCAGGATATAAACTGGAACATTTTGAACATACAGTCTCCTCCACACCCTTATTTAGGAGTGACAGCATTTTTAATATTATGTGCTGATTTCATATAAAACACTATAACACTATAGTATGCCCAGTCAACCAGAAACTAAATAAAAATATATAAACTCATATTTTACACAACGATGAAAAACAAGGTTATCAAAGAAGTTGTGTTTTCTATAAAATAAGAAAACACATTTCCCTGACTAAAAACTCAGAAGCATTGATCTATTATTTTGTTGAGATTTGAAAGTCTCATTCTGGCTGTGATTAACACTCTCGCATATAACAAGCAACACCTTAAAAAGAAAGCCTATTTTCCTTTTTTTCTCCTTTTTCACAACATTGCTTTCTCTTAAGTACCACTTAAAATTCAAGTAGGGTTTTTTTTTATGACTAAGGTCACATTATAAAATAGCATATAAGATGAAAGTAATAGAGTGTAGCCAAAGAGGGGCGTGAAAATGAACACATCAGAAGCCAGTGTTGCTTGGGCGCAGTTTCAGAGGTGTTCATTTTCATTGGCTCTTTAAGGTAGGCTGACAGGAACAATCAGTTGCCTCATAGATCACTGACAGAGGCTCAGGAAGACAGATGACAGGCAGAATAGCAAACCCCACAGAAATTAAACAGAGTGCTGGAAGAACAATTAGCATCGTTGGGGATAAAAATGCCAAGGAGGAACGCTGCTAATTTTAGGGCACAGAACCAAACCTAAATGACATCTTCATCTCAATGGCTGTTAAGCCCACAAAATCAGTGCAGCAATTCTAACTACAACTCTAACAATGTGTTTTTATATAATTTCACATTAGGTGGTCCATGTCTGATCAGTTACAGGCAGATATACTCGACCGTTTCAAGATTTCTCATAAGTTTTATGTGGCAGAGATAATTTAAGACCTCATCTCATTCCCCGACAGGAAATTCAGCGTGCCAATAAGCAATTGGACTAACTCTTCTTGGTGAGTGGAGTCAGGAAGAGTTCCATTCCCTCCACCTACAGCCAGGCCTCGACAGCTGGAGTGTGGGGTTTGAAAGCTTTAGAAAGCTCCTCGAAGGATTAAACATGAAAAAACTTGGGGTTTAGCAACATGGAAAAAGGAACACTTTTGTGAAGAATGTACCCCATCCTGGCACAGAACTCCTCAACCCAAATGAGTTGGGGGTAAAGAGCATCAAGGCCATGAAGAGACATGGCTTAGATGCTGAAAAGAAGCTTGTTTTATCTTAGACATGCTACCTCATCAAAATTTGAGTGTTTGTCATATTTTCCCAGTTTAAAAAAAATTTTGAAAAAAAATCTCAAAACTACAGAAAAGTTGAAAGATAATATGATACAAAACCATATGATTATCAGGCTCACAATGTTTGCACCATAATTCAACTTTGTATTTATATACAATTAATAAAAACAGTAACATTTTGAAGAATGCCTATCTTGTGTATATAAATTTATACTGACAGACTCCACTCAACTCAGTATTTTAAAATATAATTACATTTCCAGATGTTTTAACATTTTTTCTTTATGATAATTTGTGCTATTATTTTCTAATCCAATTCCATACTTGAAGTAGAAACAAAAATACATATCTACTGGGAGCCTTAAAAAGAGGGCAGGGTAAACAGTAAAGTAGTCTCATAAAAATAATATAAAAATTATACAAAAATTAAATTGATATTATGCCATAATATGATATAAATATATAAAACAAAAGTTTTTAAATAACAGCATTTAATATACTACTGATTATTAGAAAAGGAAACAAAAGACACATCACTGAACCTCATTTCCTATAATATAAGAATAATCTAATATTCACATGTTTCAGCTAATGAATATTTTTATAAGAAAATATCTATTTCATCATTCTCTATACCACCATTTGCATGTAGATTTTTGCAAAGTGTAACTTGAATGTCCTCATCTCCACATTTCCAGTGATCTACCAGCATGTAATTGAAAGTGCTCAGCTTTTAGCCCCCATCTAAAGCTATAGCATATTCCACTATTTTATATGAATATTTTAATACACGAACATCTTCAAACAATACTTAACCATATTACATATACTCAACCGTATTACATGAAAATAAATTATCAGTTAATTACTGGATTAAGTTTGGAAATTCAGCTTGTCTAAAAGAAAAGTTTCTGCTTTGCCCAAAGAAGTAATTTGTATATTTTAATGATTGTGAATAAATATAATTTTATAGCTTTTAGCATGTGAGTGAAGTTTGAGCATCTTTGCTCAAGCATCAGCTATTCAAATTTTGTGCAAGTAAGAACAGCATGGCCCAAACTCTATCACAAACACTGATATGCCGTGGTCTAATTTAAAGGATCTTTTTTTAACCAAAACCTTGATTTGTCCAGATATCTATTCCCAGCATCCTTTAACCTCCTCTTATCAACTCTTATACAACTCACATCTGAGTAAATTTAAAAAGCTAATCCAGAGAACATCCTGTTACTTCAAGATATATATGTAGAAATGATGCTTTAGGACCTGAGCTGTCACGTGCTTTACTCACATTAATAGGTGCTTGTCACTTAGCAATAAAATAATTTCCCTACCTTGTCACTGAATGAGATAAACAACTTTGTTTTCCAGTTATGATTCTCCCAATTCATGGTCGGAAATGAATAGGTTAGAGGTAGAGTAAGCATAATCATCCATGCCCATAATTGGAAGTTGATATGGTTTGGATCTTTATCCCCACCCAGATCTCATGTTGAATTGTAATTCCCAGTGTTGGAGGTGGGGCTTGGTGGGAGGTGATTGGATAATGGGAGTGGTTTCTAATTAGTGCCATCCCCCCTTGGTGCTGTCTTGTGATTGAATTCTCACAAGATCTGATTGTTTAAAAGTGTGTAGTACTGGGCAAGGTGGCTCATGGCTGTAATCTCAGCACATTGGGAGGCTGAGGCAGGCAGATTGCCTGAGGTCAGGAATTCAAGACCAGCCTGGCTAACATAGTGAAAACTGGTCTCTATTAAAAGTATAAAAATTAGCCGGGCGTGATGGCGGGCTCTTGTAATTCCAGCTACTCGGGAGGCTGAGGCAGGAGAATCACTTGAACCCTGGAGGTGGAGGTTGCAGTGAGCTGAGGTTGTGCCATTGCACTCCAGCCTGGGAGACAGAGAGAGACTTCCCCTCAAACACACACACACAAAATGTGCAGCACCTCCCACTTCACATTCTCTTCCTTCTGCTCCAGCCATGTAGGACATGCTGGCTTCCCCTTCGCCTTCCACCATGATTGTCAGTTTCCTGAGGCCTCCCCCTCCATGCTTCCTGTTCAGCCCGTGGAACTCTGGGTCAATTAAACCTCTTATCTTTAGAAATTACCCAATCTCAGGTATTTGTTTATAGCAATGCAAGAACAGACTAATAGAGAAGTTCACAAAAGAAAGATGATTTTAAGGGCACAACAGATATTGGCAGAGGTGAGCATGAGAAGGGGACGTGCAGGATCCTCTATAAAGTAACCCAGGCAGATGGAATTGTCAGAAGAAAGAGAAACCAGAGAAGCTTTTGCTGAATGTGGAAGCAAACTGGGAGAATTAGGAAACAAAATTCATTTACGGTGAAGGAGTTTCAACATACAAATCAAAGATACCTGCTAGATTTTGATCCTGCAGGGACTTAAAGCTAAATAAAAACACTAAGCTCAAAATTTCCCTGGGGGAGAATATTCAAAGCTGAGGAGACAGATAAGACTAAGAAGAGCATTAGCTAGGCCAGAAAGATAGATGAAACTTGCTCACTCTGAAGATTCTTGGGAGAAAATTTCCACTGGAGGGGAAAGCTTTGTCAAATATACCACTGGTTTCCCACTCAAGGAACATGGGCAGGACTCTGAAGCCTCAGGAGGATGGGGGTACAGAGCGAGGCTCTACATTCCAAAACACCAAACTGCATCTCACACCAGAGCCAAAGGCGTGCCAATCAAAATTCCAGGAGGGCTACACCCAAGAAACAGAAACAAGCCAAACGCAGACTCACTCTAAACTACAGCCACAGCTCCTTGACCTGGTTCAATGCGGGGTTACATTTAGCTTTAATCACTGTTTCTGCCTGACAGAGCAGAGAATGTTTTCAGGCACAAAGGAACCTTCTCTGAGGCTGGAAATGTTCTTTATCTTAGTCTGGGGGGCAGTTACAAGTGGTAGTACATATACAAAATGTTTTCAAGTTAAAGATTGTGTGTACTTTCCTGCATTATGTTATATCTTAGTTAAAAAGTATAACAATAAATCCCGGCAATTTGGGAAACTGAGGCGGGTGGATCACTTGAAGGCGGGAGTTTGAGACCAGCCTGACCAACACGGAGAAACCCTGTCTCTATTAAAAATACAAGATTGTGCCTGCCTGCAGTCCCAGCTACTCATAAGGGCTGAGAAAGGAGAATTGCTTGAACCCTGGAGGTGGAGGTTGTGGTGAGCCGAGATGGCGCCATTACACTCCAGCCTATGCACCAAGAGTGAAACTCCATCCCCCTCCCAAAAAAGTATAATAATAATACCCATAATTATTAAGCACAAATCTGTCATCCTCAACAAAGCAAAATCCTTGAAAATAACCTATATCTAACCGCACCACTCCTCATCATTTCAACTTCTGCCTCACCTGCTCAGGCCTGAATCCCATGTTCAATAGTCTCTTGCTTTCCTTTTTATATAGTTCATGTCATTTCCTATGCATAAGTTACAAACTTAGGGCAGTTGTGATGCTCTGCTTTTTATATGAGACACCCCAATTAGTTTATTTCTCCCTAAGTGTCAATATTCTTAAAAGTAGTGTGCCTCAAGATCAATGACCTATAGCAATTAACCCTGGTGGCCATTTATTTTATGGATAGACTTGTTTACTTGAAATAGATTTTCAAGGCCAATTTTTTGGAATGCTTCCCTTTTGGAAAAATTGGAGCATTCTTTCTTGTCCCTTTTTTCTAAATTGTTCATTTGTACTATAATGATCTTAGATTGGTTCTGATTCTGATTCCCTCACTCTGCAATCTTATTTCAACACATTATTTCATTAGTTTGTATTTGAATACAATGATTTACTGAATTCATTTAATTTATCTATGAAATAAACTACAACTAGGGAATCTGCTTCTGTTTTTTGAATCATGCTTTCTCTTCTTGATTGGATTTCTCAGTTGCATTTTGCATTCTTTTTTCTCTTTCTTCCTCACCCTCCTCTTTCCTCTCTACTTCCTTTTCTCCTGTTCTTGCTTCTCCTTCTCCTCCTCCTTCCACCATCTTTTTCAATAAATTTGCATATATTTCCATTTATTCCTTTGTCCTTTAAGTTTGTCATGGGTGTAGACATTGTTTTCATTGAAAAATGGGGAAATTCTTCCTGATATTATTACCATTTTTTCTGGGACCAGGTTCTTCTAACCATTAACCCTCAGTTTCAGTTTTACTTTAACCCGTTTTTCTTTAGACCAAGTCTCTTGGGATCATAAAGTAGAGAACTGGCTTGAACTGGGAGCGATCCATTCACAAGCATTTGAGCATGCCTCTTTTCTGTCATCTCCTTGAATGCCTATGCCTAGGAGCCACTCCAGCAAGCCAGCGTTGTAGCTCATACCTTTCAGTCTTAGCTCATTTTCTTTTCTGTATGGTGCACTAGAATATGGGAATCCCTGAAATATGACAGGACCTGAAACATTGCAAGCCCTGGAGTAGCAGGAAGACAGATGAATAACAGCCCTTAATTATGGCAGGCCCTGATACAGCAAAATCCCTTGAAGCCATGTCTACAGAAACAGTGCTACTCTGTAGATGTTTTGATTATCCACAATTGTCCCCTCATCCCTCAGTTATAATTATAAAAAGGAAATAGAATAAATGTCAATATCATTTATGAATTAAAAACAGTGTAATGTTACCAATGAGAAGAGAGAAATTATATGAGGAATTCTTGTTGCAGCTTTGAACTAGTTCAACATATATTTTGGTTATTCAGAGGCCATGGCTGAAACAAATGTACCACTTGGTTGTTTTTGTCACAAGTGTTTTTGATGAGGCACCAGCAAAGTCTATTTTGTTGAGAATTTTTGCAAATGTGTTCATCAGACATATTGGCCTGTTGTTACCTTTTGTTGTTGCATCTTTGTCTGGTTTCAGCATCAGAGTAATACTGGCCTTGTTGAAAGGCTTTGGGAGTACTTCCTTCTCCTCAATTTTTTTGAACAGTCTTAGTGGAATTTCTATTAGCTACTCTTTTGATGTTTGGTAGAATTTAGTAATAAAGCCATTGGGTTCTCAGCTTTTGTTTGAGGAAAACCTTTTTTTTTTTTCTTATCTTGATATTGGTCAATTCAGTTTTTTATCTTGGTATTGTTCAATTCAGGTTTTGGGTTTCCTCATAGTTCAATTGTGGTAGGTGGTATATGTCTAGAAATTTACCCATTTCTTCTAGGTTTTCCAGTTTATTGGCATACAGTTGCTCATAATAGTCTCTAATGATCCTTTGAATTGTGGTATCAGTTGTAATGTCTCCTTTTTCATCTCTGGTTTGATTTGGGCCTTTTCTCTTTTATTCTCAGTCTGGCTAAAGGTTTATCAATTTTGTTTACCTTTTCAAAAAACTAACTTTCATTTTGACCTTTTTTTTTTTTTGGATAACAGAGTCTCGCTCTGTCGCCCAGGCTGGAGTGCAGTGGCCTCGGCTCACTGCACTGCAATCTCTGCCTCCCGGTTTCACGCCATTCTCCTGCCTCAGCCTCCCAAGTAGCTGGGACTTCAGGCACCCGCCACCATGCCCGGCTGATTTTTTGTATTTTTTTTAGTAGAGACGGGGTTTCACCATGTTAGCCAGGATGGTCTCGATCTCCTGACCTTGTGATCCACCCGCCTTGGCCTCTCAAAGTGCTGGAATTACAAGTGTGAGCCACCACGCCCGGCCAACCTTTTGTGTTTTTTTGAGTCTCAATTTTATTTATGTTCTGATCTTTATTTTTTTCTATTAATTTTGGGTTTCGCTTGCTCTTGCTTTTCTGGTTCTTTAGGATTCATCATTCTGTTGTTTATTTGAAGTTTTTCTACTTTTCTGATGTAGGCAGTTATTGCTATAAATTTCCCTCTTTGCACTGCTTTGGCTGTGCCCCATAGATTGCGATATGTTGTGTTTCCATTTTTATTTGTTTTAAGATGTATTTTAATTTTCTTCTTTTATTTGACCTTTGGTCAATGGTCATTCAGGAGCACATTGCTTAATTTCTATGTGTTGGTATAGTTTCTGAAATTGCTCATTTTTAATTTCTAGTTATATTGTAGTCAGAAAAAATACTTGATATGATTTCTGTTTTTCAGAATTTTTGAGAATTGTTTTGTGGCCTAAAATATGGTCTATCCTTGAGAATTTTCCATGTGCTGAAGAGAAAAATGTGTATTCTGCAACCGTTGAGTGAAATGTTCTGTAAATATCTATTAGGTACATTTAGTCTATAGTACAGATTAAGTTCATTATTTCTTTGTTGATTTTTTTATCTAGATGAGCTGTCCAATGCCAAAAGTGGGGTAGCATGTTGAAGTCTCCAGCTTTAACCAAATTGGAATCTATCTCTCTCTTAAGTGTCTAATAATATTTGCTTTATCTCTCTGAGTGCTACAGTTTTGGGTGCATGGATATTTACAATTGTTACACTCTCTTACTGAAGTTATTGCTTTATTATATATAATGACATTCTTTGTCACATTAAAATTTTTGTCTTGATCTATTACATCTGATATAAGCATAGCTACTCCAGCTCTTTTTCTGTTTCCATTTGCATGATTTTTTTCTTTATTTTTAGTCTATATATATCTTTATAGATCAAGATTCATACAGACACCATTTAGTTGGGTCTTTTTTTTTTTAAATCCAGTTAGCCATGCTGTCTTTTGATTGGAAAATTAGTCCATTTACGTTCAATGTTATTATTCACAGGAAAGGACTTACTATTAATATTGCCATTTTGTTATTTGTTTTCTAGTGGGTTTCTTGGTCCTCTCTTTGTTTCTTTTTTCTTTCCTTCCTGTCTATCATAATAATGGTTTTTGTCTGGTAGTATGTTTTAATTTTCTGCTTTTATCTTTTGTGTATCTGTTATTGTTTTTCATTTTGTGGTTGCTGCGAGACTTGCAAATAGCATCTTATAACCAATTAGAATGGTAACTTAAGTTTGATTACAATGAAAATAACAAAGACAAGTAAAGAGAAAACAAACAAACAAAAACCCTCTACATTTTATCTCCATCCCTGTCCTCACTTTTTGACTTTTTGTTCTAGTTACATTGTTTTTTGCTATTTCTTAAAAAGTTGTAGTTATCATTGGTAAGTTTGCCTTTTAGTCTTCCTACTAAAGATATGAGTGTTTTATACTCCAAAATGACAGTGTTAGAGTATTTTGTATTTGTGTACTTACTATTACTTGTGAATTCTATACCTTCAGATGATTTCTTGTTGTTTGTTAACATCCTTTTTTCTGATACTGAAGAACTCACTTCAGCATTTCTTAGAGGACTGGTCTAGTGTTAATGAAATCCTTCAACTTATTTTGTCTGGGAAAATGTTACTCCTTAGTGTTTGAAGGAAAGTGTTGCTTGACACTGTAGCAGGACAAGCCACAGACAAAACTCCTCAGACACTGAGTTAAAGAAGGAAGGGCTTTATTCCACCAGGAGCTTCAGCAAGACTCACAACTCCAAAAACCGAGCTCCCCGAGTGAGCAATTCCTATCCCTTTTAAGGGCTTAGAACTCTAAGGGGGTTTGCATGAGAGGGTCGTGATGGATTGAGCAAGCAGGGGGTATGAGACTGGGGGCTGCATGCACCAGTAATTAAAATGGAACAGAACAGGACAGGGATTTTCACAGTGCTTTTCTATACAATGTCTGTAATCTATAGATAACATAACCAATTAGGTCAGGGGTCGACCTTTAATTACCAGGTGCAGGGTGTGGCGCCGGGCTGTCTGCCTGTGGATTTAATTTCTGCCTTTTAGTTTTTACTTTTTCTTTCTTTGGAGGCAGAAATTGGGCATAAGACAATATGAGGGGTAGTCTCCTCCCTTAACACAATATTCTAACACAATATTCTAAGTTGAACTTTATTGTGTGTGTGTGTTTCCTTCAGCACTTTGAATGTTATTCTACTCTCTCCTGGACAGTAAAGTTTTTGTTGAGAAGTCTGCTGCCAGATGCATCAGAGCTCCTTTATATTTATTTACTTCTTTGTGCTGTCACTTTTAGGATCTTTCTTTATCCTTGGCCTTTGAGAGTCTGAATAATATATGCCTTGAGGTAATCTCATTTTGGTTGACCCTACTTTCTGTTCTATGACTTTCTGTACCTGAATATTCATACGTTTCTCTAGGTTTGGAAAATTATGTTTTTATTTCTTTGAATAAACTTTCTTCTCCAATCTCTATGTCCTCTTTAAGGCCAATAATTCTTAGATTTGCCCTTTTGTGGCTGTTTTCTAGATATTGTAGGCATGCTCATGTTTTTAATTGTTTTTCTTTTTTCTCTTCTGTGTATTTTCATATAGCCTTCTTCAAGCTAACAAATTCTATTTCTGCTTGATCAATTCTACTGTTGAGAGATGCTGATGCATTTTTCAGTTTATTGATTGAATTTTTCAACTACAGATCTTCTGATTGATTTTTATTATTTCAATATCTATTAAATTTATCTGATATAATTCTGAATTCCTTATCTATGTTATCTTGAAATTTATTATTAACAAGTGGAGGTGTAAACAGACCAAAGCTGACACCTCCAGAAATGACTGAGTTTCGGCCAGTCAAATGTAGCCAACTGTTTGAAACATATTCAAATAAGGCAAAAACTGAGCTGTAACCAATTCAGCTGTTTCTGTACATCACTTCCATTTTTTGGATATCACTTTCCTTTTTCGGTCCATAAATCTTCTTCCACCAAATGGCTGTGCTAAAGTCTCTGAGACTACCCTGGCTCAGAAGGCCACCAAATCTGCAAATCACTCATTGCAAAATTAAGCTCCCTTAAATTTAATTTGGCTAAAGATTTTCTTTTATCTTTTTATCTCTGTCACTCCAGGATTGATTACTGGGGGAGGGATGCTGTAGACAATGCAAGAATGTATTTTCTACCCACTTCAATGCCTCTTTTTTTGATACTATGTTAAAACTAGGTACTGTAATCGCTCACCTGATTTTCTGGTTCTTTTGAAGGTAATTTCTTGCATACATAGTTGTTCAATTTTGTGTTCCTGCAGGGGAACAACTGCTGGATGATTCTATTTTGCCATCTTCTTTCTAGAATTATTTTCTTACTAAATGCTTGCTGCTTTGTTATCATTTCAAAAATTTAGCTTTATTTAGTCAAAAGTCATGCTTTACAGTTGACCCTTGAACAATACAAAGATTAGGGGCACTGACCACCTACACAGCCAAAAGTCTGTGTATAACTTTTGGCCCCCTAAAAAGTTAACTATTAGTAGTCTACTGCTAACCAGAAGCCTAACTGATAACAGTAAATTAACACAGACTTTGTATATGTATTATATACTGTATTCTTTATAATAAAGTAAGCTAGAGAAAAGAAAATATTAAGAAAATCATAAGAAAGTGAAAATATATTTCTATTTATTATGTAGAAGCAAATCACTATAAAGGTATTTATCCCTGTCATCTTCATGTTGGGTAGACTGAGGAAGAGGACAAGGAGGGAGAGTTTGTTCTGCTGTCTATGGGATGGCAGAGGCAGAAGAGGTAGGGGAGGTGAAAGTGAAGGCAAGAGTGGTAGATACACTCAGTGTAATGGTTATTAAAGAAAATTCTGTGTACTGGATTAAGAAAATATGGCACATATACACCGTGGAATACTATGCAGCCATAAAAAATGATGAGTTCATGTCCTTTGTAGGGACATGGATGAAATTGGAAATCATCATTCTCAGTAAACTATCACCAGAACAAAAAACCAAACACCGCATATTCTCACTCATAGGTGGGAATTGAACAATAAGAACACATGGACACAGGAAGGGGAACGTCACACTCTGGGGACTGTTGTGGGGTGGGGGGAGAGGGGAGGGATAGCATTAGGAGATATACCTAATGCTAAATGATGAGTTAGTGGGTGCAGCACACCAGCATGGCACATGTATACATATGTAACTAATCTGCACATTGTGCACATGTACCCTAAAACTTAAAGTAAAATAATAATAAAATTAAAAAAAAAGAAAGACAGCAACTAATGCTACTTTTTAAATTTTCAGTTATATGTTCAGTATATGGTATCTTTGGTGCCTATGAATTATATAAAATCAGATCAAATATGCATTTTTCTGTGATGCTCACTTTCATTGTAATATATAAACAAGATCCTTTCTTAAAAAAAAAAAAGAAAATTCCGTGTGTATATGTAGGCCCACACAATTCAAACCTGTGTTGTTCAAGGGGCAACTGTAGTTGCATAAAATATCTGCGAGACTATAGTTTTTGCTGGTACAAAATCTAGAATAATCGCTCTTTTATTCCTATTTCTTTGTACTTCTAAACTAATAAAGTATTAAATATTATGATAGAGGTATCTGGGTAAGAACCATGTGGAGATTGAAGATGAGGTATTGTTTGGGCTGAATGGTGTCCTCCAGTATGTGATAGTATTTGGTGATGAGTTTTTTCTTTTGTTTTTTGTTTTTTGTTTTTTTTGAGACAGAGTGTCGCTCTGTCCCCCAGGCTGGAGTGCAGTGGTGCAATTTTGGCTCATCGAAAGCTCCGCCTCCCTGGTTCATGCCATTCTCCTGCCTCAGCCTCGTCAGTAGCTGGGACTACAGGTGCCTGCCACCACGCCTGACTAATTTTTTGTATTTTTAGTAGAGATGGGGTTTCACCATGTTAGCCAGGATGGTCCCGATCTCCTGACCTCGTGATCTGGTGATGAGTTTTTTTTTAAATTGGGTGATTAGGTTAAAAGAAAACCATTAGGGTGTTACCTATAAAGTCTGACTGGTATCCTTACGGAAGAGAAAAATTTGACACATGAAGAAACATCAGGATGTGCATGAATAGAGAAAACACAATGTGAGGACACAGTATAAATGTGGCCATCTGCAAGCCAAAGGGAGAGACCTCAGAAGACACCAAACCTCTTGACACTTTCATTTTGGACTTCACAGCCCCCAGAACTGTGAGAAAATTAATTTCTGTTGTTAAAGCATCCAGTCTCTGGAATTTTAGCTCTAGCAAACTGACATGGGTATCAACATAAAAGTTCATAATAACATAAGGGTATTTGATAAATTAAGAATAAATTCACCTGGGATACAAAGTGCATGTCAAAAAAAAGTTAACACGTGCAATGCCAGCCCTCAAATACCCCTTTTTCATTACAATAGCAATAAGTGTGCCCTGAGGACAAAAATAACAGGTGCTCTGTATTTAAGGTCTCTGGTAAAAGTAAAGTATCCTCACAAAACTTGGGTCGCTAACCAAATTCCCTAGAGCAGTGATTCTAGAACAGCAGTTCTCAAATTAGTTGCTGAAAAGTTCTACAAATCCAGCAAATGCTGTCAGAGGTCTTCAATATCCTCCCTTTTCAACTTTATATACTTAAATCCAAATAACATGTTACAATAAATTGAATGTGCAACTAGGAGAGATAAATTAGTTATCTTTCTATTAAGGTGAACATTGAAGAGATTTTCAAAGATATAATGCACCACAGTATTTCTCATTAATTTTTTAGAAATTTAATAATTGTATTTATTTTAAAAATAAATATACACCTTAAGGTTAATATGATTTGTATTATTACTATTGAATGAATTAATAAATGAATATTCTAAACATTCTAAGTGTTAAAATCTATTACAGTAAATCTTGATATAGTCAATATAAACAAAAAATCTTTAAAGCACCTCAATTTTTAAAGGAGTAAGGATCTTGAGATTTAAAAAAACAACTTTAGAACTGATATTCCTGAAGTTTTTATTTTTCATATTGTATTTCTTCACCTTAACATAAATATAAAAGATAACAAGTGTCATAATTAAAATGTATGTTTCCCTAAACCCAGTTATCTCAAAATTATCAAAATATTTCTCTAAAACACAGTTTTCTAAAAATTGAGGCATTTATCCTTCACAAGCATAATTAACTCAATTAGAGTCAGCACATTGATCAAGCAGCAAAATTGTTATAATTAAGAAATGTAAGTGTCCAAATTGAAAAAAAAAAAACACTCTAAAACATTTCTAGCATCTGCTTTTGAGGGACATCAGGAATTGGCAGAATTGGAGGCTCTAGCCTTCATGCTCCCAGTATTGGCAACCATCCACAGACATGAATATCTTTATGGAAGCCACAGGGTCTAGTTGAGAGGTTCCAGCACCTCCGTGGGACCAAAAATTCAAGAATGGATTCACTGGAGAAGTTAAGAAAACTAGTTTCACTTAACCGTTGTCACCTCTATCCTAAGATAGCACAGCTCAGTGCTGAGAGAGGTTCCCTCAGCCCACAATTTCTCCCACATTAAAAAGGAATCAAAGTGAACACCTGGCTTCCCAGCCTTGTTGGATGCTTCTTGGGATGCCCACTTCTCAATGTTTCAGGTAGGTCTTGTGGGACGCAAAACGCTAAGAGGAACAGCATGGCTGAATCATCTGGGGACAACTAAGAGCAGTGAGAAGGGGAAAGAATGCACAGCAACTGCCACACGGTTCTCAATCTGTGCCAATCCTACCAACGGGCTTGTGGAGTCCATCAAGAGGTCCATCTGTGAACCCCACAGGATGCCCTGCCTGAAGATCCCTTGGCCACAGCCAGATGATCTGCCCTGAACCTCTAGTGGGTTGCACCATGGGCATCCCATGTGTGAACCATGTGAGCTTCTGAAGACAACACGTAGATTTCAACAGCAGGTGTATATTGTTGCAACCAGCTCAACTTTGCTGGTTTGGAAGAAGGCTCACAACCTTGAAAACTTCAGAGCACTGCCATAACGAAAATAAACAAGAAGTTATCAGCACTAGTCTTGGCTTTGTGAGGCTGAATGAAGGCACACAATCCTGACTTTGCCCCTAAAAGAGGTCAAAGAAAAGTGGGGTGGGTGCATCAATAGTAAATGTATGAGAGACCCAAGAATGTCTAGCTGGGCTCACCGGTGAAGGTCATTCTCTCATTAAGCCAGTTAGTGAAGACAGAAATATAAGATGCCTGGATGACTGATGTTTCAAATGTAAAGACAGTAATGTAACAATTTGTGGAACACAAAGAATCAATGAGATATGACACTACTGAAGGAACAAAATAAAACTATAAAACTCCAAAGAAATGAGATATATTAATTGACAAATAATTCAAAATAATAATCTTAAACTCAGTGAACCAGGAAAGAACTCAGACTATTAAATATATTCAGGAAAACACATACTGAATGGGAAAATTCACAAAATGAGAAATTCATCAAAGAGATATAAATCATTAAAAGAACCAAACAGAAATTCTAGGTTTGAAAAATACAATGTCTGACCTGAAACATGAAAAAGATCTTCAAAACAGACTCAAGGAAGCTGAAGAAAAAAATCAAACTTTAATACAGATCTTTTGAAATGATTTAGTTAGAAGAAAGCAAAGGAAAAAAGACAGATAAAAAAGAAAGCCTACTGGGATTATGGAGCAAAATAAAGTGAACCAATATACATATTATATGAGTCTTGGTAGGAGAAGAGAAAAAGATGTGGAAAGCTTATCTAAATAAATAATGACCAAAATCTGAAATCTAGAGAGGGAAATGAACATTTAGATATATAGCCTAAGGAAGTCCAGATAGATTGAGCATAAAGAGGTCTTCACCAAGACACATAAGCAATATGTCTAAGTCAAACACAAAGATAGTTTTTAAAACATCAAAAGAAAAGTGAATCATCATATGCAAGAAAACCTTCACTATCAGTAGGTTTCCCAGTAGAAACCATGCATGCCAGGAGTCAGTGGGATGACAAATTCAATCAGCTGAAAGGAGAAAAAAAAAGACAAAACAGCAACCAAGAATACTATACCTGGCAAAGTTGTCTTTAAAAAATGAAGATGAGATTAAAAAAACTTTCCAAAATAAATGAAAGCTGGGGAAGTTCATTACCACTACACCTGCTTTACAAAAAAAAATGCTAAATGGAGTTCTTTAAGTTGAAATAAAAGAATGCCCATTAGCAATATGAAAATGTAAAGTATAAAACTCACGGGTAAAGGTAAGTATATAGTCAAATTCAGAATGCTCTAATTGTGCAATGGTGGTACATACTTTCAATTCTAGTATATAAATTATAAGACAAAAGTATAAAAAATATGACAACAATAAATTGTTAATGGATACACAACACAAAAAGATGTCAACTGTGATACTGATAATGAATAATGAGGTAGAAAAACATGTAAGTGTGAAGTTTTGTATCCAATTAAGTTACCAGCTTAAAATGGTATTATAAGATTTTAGTGTAAGGTGCATGGTAATTATAAATAAAAAATCTTTGGCAGATACACAAAAGATGAAGAAAAATTAAAGCATACCACAACCAAAAAAATTATCAAATCACAAAGGAAGCTAGCAAGAGGGGAAGAAAAGAACAAAATAACTACAAAAGCATGAGAAACAATTAATAAAATGGCAATAGTAACTCTACTATCAATAACTTTATTATAAATAGACTACATTGTCTAATAAAAATATATAGAATAACTGAATAGATTAAATATAAGATCCATATGCTACATATGTGACTCACTTTAGATTTAAGAATATACATAGGCTGAAAGTGATGGGGTGCAAAAAGATACTCCATTGAAATGGTATCCAAAAGCAAAAATGAGTAGTTATACTTTTCTGACAAAAAAATTTAAATCAAAAGCTGTTACAAGAGACAAAGTCATTATGTTATGACAGAAAGATCAATTTATCAAGAGGATATAACAATTGTAAACATATGTGCACCCAACCATAGAGCACCTTATTATAAAAAGAAAATAGTGACAGAACTGAAGGGAGAAATCAAGAGCAGTACAATGATAGTAGAGGATGACAATAACTTACAATACCTTACTTTCAGCAATATATTATTCAGACAGAAATTCAATCAGGAAATAGTGAACTTGAACAACAATATAGACCAAATGTACCTACTAGACAAATTTGAAATATTCTATTTAACATCAGTAGAGTATACATTGTTTTCAAGTGTACATGAAAATTCTCCAGAACAGATCATATGTTAGGCCAGAAAACAAGTCTTAACACATTTAAGTATCTTGAAATCATAAAAAGTTATTTTTTAACTACCAAGGTATGAAACTGGAAATCAATAACAGGAGGAAACAGGAAAATTTACAATTATGTGGTAATCAAGCAATTCACTCCTAAACAATTGGTCAAAGAAAAATAAAAATATAAATTAAAAATATATTGGAACAAACTAAATAGAAAATACAATATATTAAAATTTATGAGATGCAGCAAGAGCAGTTCTAGGAGGGAAATTTATAAATACCTACATTAAGACAAAAAAGATCTTAAATTTACTCTTCAAAGAACTAAAAAAAAAGAATATCAGATGGAAGAAAATAGTAAACGTTAGAGCAGAAATCAATCAAATAGACACTAGAAACAAAATGGAAATAAATAAACTGAGTTGTTTTTTTAAAAAAGATAAAATTGACAAAATTTTAGTTAGATAAACTTAGAAAAAGAGAAGACTCAAATAAAATTATAAATGAAATAAGAGACATTACAACTGATACTTCACCAACTCAAAGGATCATAAGAGAAAAATTTTATGCCAATAAATTGGATAACCTAAAAGAAATGAGTAAGTTGCTATAGACATACCACCTATCAAGACTGAACCATGAAGTAATACTAAATCTAAACAGATTATTAATGAGTGATGAGATTGACTCAGTAATCAAAAATATTCCAGTAACAACAGCAATAACAACAACAAACTAAGATATGATGTCTTCACAGCTGAATTTTACCAAACATTTAAAGAAGAACTAATACCAATTCTTCTCAAACTCTTCCAAAAATTTTAAGCAGGAGGAATGTTTTCAAGCTTATTCTATAGGTCAGCATTACCTTAATACCAAAGCCAAACAAGGACATTACAAAATAAATAAATAAATGAAAAATTACAGGCCATTATCCTTGATGAACATAGATTTTAAAAATCCTCAAAAAATACTAAAAATCAAATATAATAGAACACTAAAAAGGTCACACACCATGATCAAATAAAATTTATCTCTGAGATGCAAGAATGGTTCAACATATGCAAATCAATGAATTCGACATACCACATTAACAGAATGAAGGATA
Organism: Homo sapiens; assembly: GCF_000001405.40. Classification (NCBI taxonomy): domain Eukaryota; kingdom Metazoa; phylum Chordata; class Mammalia; order Primates; family Hominidae; genus Homo; species Homo sapiens. Next base: position 179,577,287 of record NC_000004.12, read on the forward strand.
AAATCATTTGATCGTCTCAATAGATACAGAAAAAGCATCTGACAGAATTTGAAACTGTTTAATGATTAAAAACTCTCAATAAATAATGTACTGAAAGAATGTACATCAGCATGTTGTTGTAAAGGTCTTATATGATAAGCCCACAGCTAACATCATACTCAATGATGAAAGGCTGAGAACTTTTTATCTAATATTAGGAACGAGACAAGGATGACCACTCTCACTACCTCTACTCAACATAGTATTAAAAGTCCTAACTAGAGCAAGTAGGAAAGAAACTGAAATAAAGATATATAGGTCATAAAGGAAAAGTTAAAATTGTCCTTGTTAGAAGATGATGTAATCTTATGCATTTAGAATAAGATGCCACCAAAAATCTATTAGAATAGATATTAAAAAATTCAGTAAAGAAATAAGTCAATAAAATTGTGGTATACAAAAGCAATATGAAAAAATTAGTTACATTTCTACACACTTAAAGGACCTTTTTGAAAAAGAAAAAAGCAATTTCATTTAAAATAACACCTAAAAGGATAAAATACAGTAGCACCTAAAAGAAGAAAATAAAATGAATTTAAACAAGGAGGTGAAAGATCTATACATCTATACATTGATGAAACTAATTAAAGTAACTTTCTAAATAAATAGAAAAATACCCAGATATTAATAGGTTAAAAAACTAATATTGTTAGCATGTTCACACTAGTCAAAGGGAACTACAGATGCAATATAATCCCTATAAAATTCTAATGACATTATTTTACAGAAATAGAAAAAATAAAATAAAATTCATGTGGAACCACGTAAGACTCTGTCTGAATTTTCAAAGCAATCTTCAGAAGGAGCAAAACTAGATGAATTACACAAACTGACTTCAAAATATATTACAAAGCTATGCTAATTCAAACAGTATTGTACTGGCATTAAAATAGGAACTTAGAGCAATGAAACAGAAGAGGGAACCCACACACTATCTAGTGAACTCTGTCTATCCTCAACAAGAGTGCCAAGAATTCACAATGGGGAAAGGATTGCCTGTTCAATAAGCGGTGTTGAATAAACTAGATATCAACATGCAAAAGAAGGAAATCGGATCCTTATTTTACACAATACACAAAAATCAATGCAAAATGGATTGAAGATTCAAATGTCAACCTAAAACCTTAAAACTCATAGAAAAATATATAAAGGGAAAAGCTCCTTGGTATTGGCCTTGCAATTTTTTTTAATATGACACCAAAAGCACAGGCAACAAAAGCAAAAATAAACAAGTCGGACTTATATCACACTAGAAAGCTTTTGCACAGCAAAGAAAACAACAGATTGAAGAGAAAACCTATTGAATGAGAGAATACATTGTGGATATTAATACTGGTAAGGGATTACTATGCAAAATATACAAGGAACTCATGCAACCAAATAGAAAATAACCCAATTTAAAAATGAACAAAAACAGAATAGTCAGTAAATTTTTTTCAAAAAAGACATACAAATGGCCAGCAAGTACATAAAAAGATGCTTAACAACTGTGCATTAGAGAATGGAAAATCAAACCCACGATAAGATATTGCCTTATACCAGTTAGGTGGCTATTATCAAAAAACACAACAGATGAGTGTCAGTGCGGGTTAAAGAAAAGGAAACCCTTGTACACCATTGGTGGGAATGTAAAATGGTATGGTCATTATGGAAAACAGTATAGAGGATCCTCAAAAAATCAAAAAATAGAACTATGATATAACTCAGCAATCTCATGTCTGATTATCCAAAGGATAATCAGGAGCTCAAGGAGATATCTGCACTCCCATTGCAACAATCTTCAATAGACAACATACGGAAACAATTTAACTGTCCATCAATGAATGAATGGGTAAGAAAACATGAAACACACACACACACACACACACACACACGAATGGAATATTAGCCTTAAAACGGAAAGAAGTTCTGCCATTTGCAACAACATGGATGGACCTGAAGGACATAATATTAAATGAAATAATCCAGACACAGAAAGACAAATACTTACATGTGGAAACTAAAATAGTCAACTCACGGAAGCAGAGAGTAAATTGTGGTTGCTGGGGGCTGACAGAGAAGGAATTGGGAGGTGATGGTTAAACGTTTTAGTCAGGCAAGAGAAATAAGTTCTGAGGATCTTCTATAAAGATCTTCTATAAAGCATAGTGCCAGAAGTAACAATACTGTATTGCATACTCAAAATTTGCTAAGAGGATAGATCTTATGTTAAGCGTTTTAACAACAACAAAACCCTAATAATAATAATAATGATAATAATAATAAAATAGGTGAGAGAATATTGTGGAAGGAGATGGACATGTTTATGGCCTTGATAGTGGTGATGGTTTCACACATGTAAACTTAACCCAGACTCATTAACATGTAGCTATGAAATATACACACCTTTTTTATATGTCAATCATATCTCAAATGGCAAATAAATAAATTTTTCAATCTACAAACCTGGAATAAAATTTTGGCTACTAATTCTCTCACAATTATTCAACAAATCACATTCACTAATATCAACACACAACCCAAATTAAAACAGTTTATTATCTTCACTACTACCACCAGTTTATGCTATCATTTTTTTTCACGAAGCCTACTAAGACAGCCTCATTTCTCTTCTCCTTTCCCCTGCTAACACCTCACCTCACATTACATTCTCTCCCAATACAAAAGAGTAACTTTTCTAAAACAGAAATGAAATTATTCCTTGGTTTATTCAAAACCATAATAATTTCTCATTATGTACAGAATTTAAAAAATAATTCATCTCATGATATGTAAGATCTTAATGAATCGGCTCCTCCTTTGGTAGATTGGTTGCCCAAATATTTTCAGCACTTTAGCTCTTCCTTTGCAATAGATTTTGCAAATCTTCCCAATAATAAAATATGGAGTCTGTTTCTTTACCCCATAAAAACTGGGTTGAACTTATGACCTGCTTCCCTCAATATAAGGCAGGCAGCAGAATGGACTCTCAGTTTCACACCTAGAATACGAGAAGTCTTGCATGTTTTACTGTCTTTTGGACCCTTACCTCTGTTACAAGTACAGACCTGAGCTATGTACTGCAGGATGAGAAACCACATGGCATAGAAGAGCCATCCCATTGGAGGCCATCCTAAACTGTCCCCTAGCTGAGTTACCACCACGTGACAGTAGATGTGTAATCAAGCCCAGCAGAGATGGATTGAATTAGGCCCAAAGACCCACATAAAATAATAAATGGTGGTTTTTTAGGCAACTAAAATTTTAGAGTAACTTGTACAAGGTATCAGGCATGAAACAATACCTGATATCTGTGTATTTTGCCATGAACATTTCCATCAATCCCAATTTATGTCCTCTTATTTAGTCTTAGTGGCCTTCCTTGAAGTCATGCTTATGCTTATTTCAGGAATTTGTACCTGTTCTTTCCTCTGTCTGCAGTACACTTACATGAGATTTTTCCATGGACTTTTCTCACTTTATTCTGCATTCTGTTCATACATAACCATCCCCCTTCCCTAGGAATGCCTTCATAATCATTATACTTTCCCCTCAGCATGCTGTTTTATTCCATAGCCATTATGTCTACCCAATATACATGGTATAATTATTTTTTTCATTTTCTTCACATATCCTTAGTAAATATATCAAAGAAACTGCACATAAAGAAATGATATATTTAGATATTTAACAGCTATATATTGAATATACAGTATCATTTTCTTGAAAAAAAACTCATGTTCTTCTGAAATATTTCTATATAAAATTAGCTCAAATAAGAACTACGGAGAAAATTTAGCTGGCACCAAAGACTGCTATGACAGATTGCATAAATGTATTGTTATCTTCTGTCTTTTTATTTTTATTTTTTTTTTATTTATTATTTCTTTTTAAAGACAGAGTCTCACTTTGTTGTCCAGGCAGCAGTGCAGTGGCATGATCTCGGGTCACTGCAACTTCAACCTCCCAGGTTCAAGCGATTCTCCTGCCTCGCCTCCTAAGTAGCTGGGATTACGGGCAGGTGCCACCACACCTGGCTAATTTTTGTATTTTTAGTAGAGACAGGGTTTCTCCATGTTGGCTAGGCTGGCCTTGAACTCCTGACCTCAGGGGATTTGCCTGCCTCAGCCTCCCAAAGTGCTGGGATTACAGGTGTAAGCCACTGTGCCCGGCTGTTATCCTCTGTCTTAGCTCACTTCCTGTTGCTTACAACAGAATACCTGAAACCAAGTAACTTATAAGGATAGAAAATTTATTTTTTTCTCTTCTGGAGGCTGGGAAGTTCAAAGTCAAGGGGCTGAATCTGATGAGTGTTTTCTTGCTGGTGGGCACTCTTTCCAGAATCCTGAGGTGGTGCAGAGCATCACATGAGGGGGCTGAGTGTGCTCATGTATCAATGTGCTCTCTTCCTTTTCTTATAAAGCCACCAGTTTCCGCCCCATGACAGTCCATTAATCCACTAACTGATTAATCCATAAATGGGTTAATCTATTCACAAGGGCAGAAGCCTCATCATCCAATTATCTCTTAGCGGACCTACCTCTCCATACTGCCACATTGGAAATTGTTTAAACATGAATTTTAGAGGGGACATTTCACTGTTTTAAAGGAATAATGCAAAGACCCTTCAAATTTGTTGATGTCAGTGTTTATGAATAATGAGAGGAAAAATCACATTTCAGAAAATAATTTGAACGAGTACATAACAAAATTTTATGGTTATTTTAAAACATACTGTTTTAATGCAACTTACAACTTAAAACTACTGATGCCACGTAGGTAACTTCTCCATTATTAATAAAAATGATGAACAACATGCCATAGTTATTCAATCAACAATTCCCAGAGATCACCTTGAATGTAAGGTCTGAAATAGACCTGGGATTGCCTTACTTGGATATTAAGCTTTATGGAGCAGCAACTCTTCATTTGCTTCTACTTTATATGAAAAGGACAGTGCTACAGACATAGAGCAGTACATTTTCAGCAAGCCACCCCAGGAATGTGCACCGATAGCCTCATTAAGGCTTGTAGAAGCTGTGCTACATTATTTCTCAACACATCACTCAATGTCTCCACATTATTTAATTCTTTCAATGCCATGTTTATGACATGACTCAGGATATAGAGTATGGGCACTACTAAAAAGAAATGTGGAGTTTGTGTCTTAGCAACGTTTAATTCTAGGGTTTTTTTTTTTCCTTTTGAAAGTATACAGATGCATCAGAAAGATTAGCATAAGTTTTGCCCCATATTAAAGATTAAGGAGACAGGAATATAGTTGTTTTCATTTCACTGTGAAGAAAAAGAAGGAAATAATTTTAAAGCAAACACATGGATTTAGTTACCTTCTGTTCTAAGCCCAATGCCAATACCAAATATAACAAGCAGTAAAGACGAATTTGGCAATTCCCACAGCCCTTTATACAGTGTACTCTTCTAGTGTTTGAAGCACCCAGCATGTTGCAATAATCACAACATATATGTTCAAAAAATCTTAACAGAATGAGCTTTGATTCAAGTGTTTCACAGTAAAATATATAATGAAATATTCTTGGTAAAATAAATAAAAAATATTAAGTATTTAAATAATGTGGTGAACAGTTTTTTCATGTTACTTTAATAATGCTAGAAGTATGGAAATTTTGGAAATCCAGTGTTTTATTACCATTAGCTTTTGATTTTTCTAGCTGATTTTTTTTAGCTATTATACTGTTTTTCAAATTAGATCAGAAACTTTTTCTGGTTTGTTCTCACTTCCTAAAAGCAAATATTACAATGAAATATTTAGCATCAATTTAATGGTGGATTAAAGATAGCTGCAGTTTCCTGGACACGCTTCCTTTTAAGATACAGATCTATTCTACCTTTGTTCCAACCAGAACTGACCTGTGACTGTTGGACAAATGTCACACACTGTAGAAATAATACTATGGTCAGTTCTGCTACCCTTATTTAAGAGAACTGGGAGTTTCTGTCTTGCTCTCTAAGGGTGCCAAGCCACCATGTAAGACGTCTAATCATCCTGCTAAAGAATGCATCTGAATACCGGAAGACAGAGAGGAGCCCAGATGAATACAGCCTTTCAACTGCCCCTCACAGGGCAGGCATGTGGGAAACGTCCCGGGTCCTGCAGACCTGTCTTCAGCTAAATGCCCAGTGACTCAGTCAACATCACATGAAGCAGAAGATTCAGCCAACTGAACCCAATGGGAATTTCTGACCCAGGAAATTATAAAATACAATAAATGGTTGTTATTCTAATATATTAAACTTTCAGTGGTTTATTATGAAGTTTTGAGTAATAAGAACAATATCCCTTTAGTCTACCCCAGGGTTTGGCAAACTCTTTCTGTAAATGGCATAAGAGTGAATATTGTAGACATTGCAGGCCATATTGTCTCGTTGCAACTACTCAACTCAGCCATGGTAGCACAAAAGCAACCATAGCAACATGTGAATACTTGTGTGTGGCTTGCTTTAATAACACTTCATTTATAAAAACAGGTGATAAACAGATTTGGCCCTTGCCATACTTAACCAACCTCTGGTCTACACAAAACTGTTGTCTAAACCTAAGTTCCGAATGCCTTCAATGAGAACACTAAATCCAAGTAAAATTAGATACTCAGGAAATTAACAACAATAGTAATTCCAATTTCAACATGAGGCAGTGAATTCACATAGAGTTATATAAGTTAGTGATAATTTTGTTTCTGTAAATAATTTTTACTGTTTTTTTAAATATTAGAGTTTAAGTGACATCATGGTGAGATGTACAGGGTATATTTGAATTGTTCTAAGCTGGGTACAAATACCAGAAGCGCCATACCTATACTAGCTTTATTTTTAACTGTATATTACAGATGTTAACTGCAAAGGGTTAAAAGGCCTACACTAACAAGGGTAAGCCCCAGCCTAATTTTTCATGCTCAGTCCTCAAATTTCCAGTGTAATCACGTTGACATTCTTAAACTTCCCATTCCTTTGTTAAGTTTAGAGCCCCAGAATGCACTTTCGCCAGACTTGCTTCTGCTTCTGAAAACTGATCGCTGAAATTTTGCCTTAAACCACGCATCATTGTCCTGTTTCTTTGTTTTTCGATTTTTTTCTCTTGATCGGCCTGAGTACTTGTAATGCATAAAACCTCTCCTAACTGCCAGAAGGCAGAATGTCTCATCTTCAGACTGAAACTCTTGCAAACAGGGAGAAAAGCCTTTCTTTTTCTTGCTCCACTCTGGTGGTTTCTACTTCAGGATCTTTTGACATAACTAATTTCTCAGTATTGTTTCCTCTTCTTTTAAATGCAAGTAAGAACAGACAAATTTATAAGATATTTAGGATGGTTAGATTTTACAATTGATTTTAAGTACTTAACAGTTTGTGTGAATCCAATAGATTCCCATTCTCTTTACTGCTTTTACTCAGCTGTAATATATTGTTCTTACATAAATATTAAATATGGACTGAACTACAAGGAAATTCATCTGGATCAAATTGTTGGTTTTGATTTTGTGTATTTGTGTTTACTACACACATTTTTTTAAAGTTTTCAATTTATTTATTTATAATATACACAGAAATACTATTTGGGGGATACAGCTCTATGAGTTTTGAGAAATTTATAGAGTTATGAAGCCACTACCAAAACCAAAGTATAAAGCAGTATCCTCACCCTAGAAATTCCAGCCTCCCCAACACTAGCTCCTGGCAACTTTTGACATACTTTTTATATCTACAACTTTAAAAATTCTTTTACAGAATATCATATAAAGTGGATCATGGCAAATATAGCCTTTAAAAAAATCTTTTTCTTATTTTAATAGACAATAATTATATTATATGTGAATGGGGTACAATGAGATATCATTATATATGTATATATAGTGAAATGATTAAATCAAGCTAATTATTACATATATTATCTCATACTTATATATTTGTGGTGAGAACATTTAAAAATCTTCTTTTTTAGTGATTTTAAAATAGACTTTATTATTGATTATAGTCATCATGCTGTGAAATAGGTCACTAAAATTTTTATTTCTCTTGTTTTTTTTTTTTTTTTTTTTTTTTTGAGACACACTCTCGCTCTGTCACCCAGGCTGGAGTGCAGTGGTGCGACCTCGGCTCACTGCAGCCTCTGCCTTCTGGGTTGAAGTGATTCTCTTGCCTCAGCCTCCCAAGTACTACAGGCACGTGCCACCATGCCTGGCTAATTTTTGTATTTTTAGTATAGACAGGGTTTCACCATATTGGCCAGGCTGGTCTCAAACCCCTGACCTCGTGATCCGCCAGCCTCGGCCTCCCAAAGTGCTGGGATTACAGGTGTGAGCCACCACACCCGACCTATTCTTCTTGTTTAATCAAAACTTTGCACCCTTGGACTAATATCTCCCCTTCCCTGTCCACTGTCCCACCTCTGGGAACCACCATTCTACTCTGTATTTCCGTGAGTTGCTATATACAACCTTCTGAATTTTGCTGTTACTGTTTTCACTTAGCATAACATTTGAGATCTGTCATGTTATTTCAGTGGTTCTTTCCTCTGTGGTACTGAATAATGCTCCATTGTATGAAAGTACCACACTTGATTCACCAGTTGAAGAAGACTCGGTTCCTAGTTATTACAAAATTACGCATAAAGCTTCTGTAATCAGCATTCCTGTGGTGGATTATGGTGGATTATGTCCTCCTCTCTCAATTCATATGCTGAAGCCTTCACCCCTAACGTGACTATGTTCAGAGTTGGAAGCTTTTAAGAGATAAGGCTGAACCAGGTTATATAGGTGGTTACAGGTTATTTGATTATTTTACTAGTGCTCTTGTAAGGAGAGGAAAAGACACTTGATCTCTCTCTGTCTCTCTCTCTCTCTCTTTCTGTCTCTCACATGCACTCTCTCAGCAAGAGGAGAGGCCATCTAGCCAGGAAGAGAGGACTCACTAAAAAAAATCAACCCTGACAGCACCTCGATATTGCACTTCTAGCCTCCAGAACTGTAAAAAAAAAAAAAATTAATAATAAATATACTGCTGTTTGAGCTATCCAGTCTGTGGTACTTTGTTATGGCAGCCTGAGAAGACGAATACAATTCTTTTCTCAGTTATTTTGTGTTGCTCTAAAGGAATAATGGAGGCTAGGTACTTTATTTATTTTTAAAAAGGTTTATTTGGCTTACAATTCTGACGGCTAAAAAGTTCAAGATTGGACTTCTGCATCTGGTGAGGGCCTCAGGCTGCTTCCACTCGAGGCTGCGGAAGGCGAAAGGGAGCGCGGTGGCGTGTGCAGATCTCATGGTGACAGAGGAAGCAAGACAGAGAGCGGGAAGTACCAGGTCCTTTAAAACAGCCAGCTCTCAGGAAACTAACAGAATGAGAGCTGATTCATCCCCAAGGAAGGGCAGTAAACTATTCAAGAGGAAGCCACCCCCACAACCCAAACACCTCCCATTAGTCCCCATTTTCAATAGTAGGGATCAAATTTCAATATGAGGTTTGGAGGAGACAAACATGCAAACCATAGCAATTGCTATGTAAATATTGTGTGAACATGGGTATTTTTCTCCTGTATAAATATCTGTGAGTGGGAATATTGAATGGTTTCTAATGTTTCATAAGCAATTGCCAAACTATTTTCCAGTCTGTATCACTTTTTATTCCCATCAACAATATATAGACCTCTAGGTGCTCCACATCTTGGGGGTTACTTGTTATAGCAATCTATCTGTCTATCTATCTATCTGTCTATCTATCTATCTGTCTATCTATCTACCTATCATCTATCTTTCTGCTTTCATCTATCTGTCTATAATTATCTTCATCTATCCATTACAATTTATCATTCTAATAAATGTACAGTGGTATTTCTTGGTTTTAGCTTTCATTTTTCTTATTTCTAATGACTAGTAATGTTGACCATTTTTCATGTATTATTTGCCATTTGTATATTGATTTTGGTATTCAAATATTTTGTTCATTTTGTATTAGGAAGTTTTCTTTTAACTTTTGCTTTAAAAACACATATTCTGAATACAAGCTTTTTATTTTTTTGGCCTTATGTGGGTTTTGCAAATGTGTTCTTCCAGTAAAGTTTGCCTTTTCATTGTCTTTAACCGTTTTTTTCTAGAACTAAACATTTTAATGTCAATGAGGTACATATGTACACTATATAAATGCTGTTGCTATTGTATCTATAAAATCTGCAAACTGGAGGGTGCATTTTCTTCTATATTTTCTTTTAGAAGTTGTATAATATGAGGTCTTACATTGTTCTATAATCACCTTTGAGTTTATTTTTATATACAGTTCAAGGTAGGAATTGAGATTCACTTAAATATGTTTGCATATGAATGTAAACAGCTCCAGCAACATTTGGTGAAAAATCTATCATTTCTCCTTGTAAATGAGTTTGCACCTTGGTAAAAAATTACTTGATATATCTACGGATCTATTTCTGCATTCTCTATCCAGTTCCATTGGTGTATCTGCTTATTCTTTCTTCAATATCACATTGTCTTGCTTCCTGTAGCTTCCAAGTAAGTCTTGCAATCAGGTAGCTTGAGTCTTCAGCTGTGTGTGTGTGTGTGTGTGTGTGTGTGTTGTGTGTGTGTGTGTTTTCCAGATCATTTTGGCCATTTCTGTTCATCGACTTTCTATATAAATTTTAAAAATCATCTTGTAAATTTCTACAAAAAAAGCTTCAGAAAAAAATGATTGAGATGGCTTTTAACAATATATTACTATGTGAAGAATTGCCACTGATACCTAGTTATCCAAGCAAAGAACATAGTATATCTCTCTGTTTGTTTTTGTCTTTTAAAATTTCTTCTATTGATGATTTCTAGTTTTAGGATATAGACCCTGAACATATTTTGTTAGGTTTATACTTAATATTTCATATTGACAGAGCTACCTAAATAATATTTATTTCTTCTTCCTATATACTAGCAATGAAACCCTATGGGCCTGAAGATTGCTTTTGAGGGAATATTTAAGTTATAAATTTATTTTCCTTAATAGATATAGGGCTACTCAAATAATCTATTTCATTTTGGGTGAGTTGTGGTTTGTGTTTTGGAAGAATTTGCCCACACTTTTCAAGTTGTCCAATTGATGTGTGTATAGTTGTATTGCTATTCCCTTATTATTTTTGGGATGTCTTCAGGGTCTGTAGTAATAGCCTATTACTGATTATTTTAATTTGTGTCATGTCTCTCTTTTCTATTCATGCTAGAGGTATGTTCCACAAATTTTGATATTTAATATTCATACATCTACTTAGTTAAATATAATTTTGTATATTGACCTTGAGACTTTCTTTTTGAGCCATGGTTTCTTTAGAAGTGTGTTATTTTATTTCTAAGCACTTGGAAATTTTCCCACTTTATTTTGATTATTAATTTATACTTTGATTCCATTGTGATCCAAGAACACATTCCGTGTGGTTTCGGTTATTTTAAATTAAATTAGTTTGTTTCACAGAGATAGATATGTTCTATCTTGCTATATTGTCCATGGCCATTTGAAAAGAGTAAGTATTTTGAGTGAAACATTTTAAGACGTTGATTTGGTCCTGTAGATGGATGGTATTGTTGGATTGTTCTATATTCTTTCTAATTTCCTGTCTAGTTCAGTTAATTGTTAAGAAAAAGAAGTTTCAGTCTCCAACAATAATTATTCATTTGTCTATTTCTCCTTTCAGTTCTGTCAGTTTTCTCTTGTAAATTTTATAGCTCTGTTATTTGATTTATACACATTTAAGATTTCTATGTCTATGTGGTGGATTTATATTTTTATTATACAATGTCCATTTCTATCACTGGTAATTTTCTTTCCCTTGAAGCCTACTTTCTCTGACGTTAATACAGGCACTCCTCTTTGCTGTTGATTCAGGCTTGAATGATATATCATTCTCATTTTTTTACTATCCACCTGCTTGTGGACAGTGTTTGTTGGAAAATATATTTTAATCAACTTCATGTATCTCTTCATTTTAATTGGTATATTTTGACTATATAATGCAATTACAGATATTTACTATTAAAGTCTACAATTTATTATTATTTTTGTTCTGTTTGTTTTTTGTTTCTGTTTTTTTTTTCTCCTGCTTTCCTGTGGGTTAAGTGAACAATTTTTAGAATTCAATTTAGATTGCCTATACTGTTTGTTATATACACTTTGTATATCCTGTCTTAGTGGTTCTTTTAGGTATTATATTCTATATACATAACATGACCAGTGACCGATGTCATCATTTTACCAACTTAAGTGGGATGTAGAAAACTTACCTTTCTTTATGTTCTGATACTTTCCTCTTTTACAATCATTTTAAACATTTCTTCTACATAACATTTTAAAATGAATTAGTGTTAAAAATTGGTTCAACCACTAAATTTAAATTAGAAAACTTGAGAGAAGGAAAGAATATCATATATACCCATAATTCTGCTTATTATATTCTTTTTTCTTCCTCATAGTCAAAGATTTCTCTTTTTATAATTTCTCCTCTGTTTAGTGAATTTCCATTAGCCATTCTTTTTAAAAAAATATCAGTCTACTGGTGATAAATTCTCTTAGTTTTCCTTTATATTATAATGCTGAAAAATATTCCTTTTATTTATGAAAAATATTCATGCTGGATAGAGGATTCTGCTTTAACAGTTACTTTCTGTTTACACATGAAAAACGTGCCACTTTCTCCTGAGCTCCAAGTCTTCTAATCAAAATTCACTGTCATATAAATTATCTTTCTTGTAGTGATTTGTCATTTTATTCTCTTTGCTTTTAAGATTTTTCTTTTCAGAAACTTGACAACAATATATATTGTGATAAGTGTGTGTGCTTTGTGTGTGTGTTGGGAGTGGTTTATGATGGAAGTCACTCTGTGTCTTTAATCTGTAGGTTTATGTTTTTTCAAACATTTGTTGAGCCATTATTTTTTCAAGCACTTATTAACTTACCCACTTTGTCCTCCCCTTCCAGGACTTCATATCACACAAATATTAGATCTTTTGTTGTAGATGCACAGTAATCTGAAGCTCTATTTTTTTTTAATTTTTTGGTCTATTTTCTTTCTGTTGCTCAGATTGGATAATTACTATAGTTCTATCTTCTGGTCCACTGAATATTCACTCTGTTTCCTCTATTTTTCTGTTAAGCTCACCCATTATTTTTCAGTTCTAAGATTTCCATTGAAATCTGTTTTATATCTTCTAAATCTTTGTTGACACTTTCTATTGCTTTGTTGGTGCATGCTATTTTTGTTTAAATTCTTTTGTTTTAATTACTAGTTGAAGCTCTTTCTGTCAGATAATTCTAGCCTTCCATTACCTCAATGTTGGCATTTATTAATTGCCTTTTTCAGTCAGTTGGAAATCTTCTTTGTTCTTGAAGTGAGTGATCTTCAATCAAAACTTGTCTGGATCTTATTTAAACCCTTTGTTTTAGTTGAGTGCCTCTGACTTCACTTTAGCAGAAGAAAGGAGATGTCTGCAAGGTTCTCTGCTCAGCCTCCATTGACAACAGGATGGGACAGAGTCTCCCTGTTAGTGCTGGGTGGGAGTGGGGGTTCTGCCTCCCCCTGGGCTTCCACAGATACATTTCTGAACGTAAAAAATCTCTCTGCCTCCTTTTCTCTTCTTATAAGGGCACTTGTCATTGGATTCAGGGCCCGCTGTAGTCAAGTATGAACTCATTTCACTATCACTAATTACAACTGTAAGGGCTCTATCTCCAAATCATATCACAATCTGAGATGCCGGTGTTCCATGAATTTGAATAGAACACTATTCAACCCACTACACCTTCTCAAGCTCCTCTTCTTTAACAACACCTCAACCTTTCCATTTCTAGGAAGGAGAGAAAAAGAGAAAGAGACATACACAGAGGGACAGAGTGGAGAGTCTCTATTGGTCATGCTCATTAAGCATCCTGATATTAAGCCTGTGCTATGGTTTGAATGTATCTTTCAAAGTTCATGTGTTGGAAACAATCCCCAATGCAACAGTGTTGAAAGGTGGAACCTTTAAGAGGTGCTTATGTTGTGAGGGCTCTGCCCTCATGAATGGATTAATGCCATGATCTGAAGTAGGGTGGTTATCTTGAGAGTAGGTTCCTGATAAAAGGAAGAGTTCACCCACCTTCACTTCTCTTGCAAGTATTCTCACTTACCCTTTGCCTTGCCCCAAGGTATAACACAACAAGAAGGCCTTTGCAGGATGTGGGAACCTTGCCCTTGGACTTCCCAGCCTCCAGAACTATAAGATATAAATCTCTGCTTTTTATAAATTACCTAGTCTCAGGTATTCTGTCACGGCCACACAAAGTGAATTAAGATATACCACCCTGACACTTAGTCAGAAGATAGGAAAGGGAAACGGACTAGAAAATTCACTGCTGTGTTGTTGTTCTTTTAGATTCTATTACCCTCCTCGGCCTGCCTGGAATTATTTATTTTAAGAGTCATCAGGTTTTACATTTTCTGTTCAGGGATTTTAGTTATAATTAATGGGAGACATAGCATGGTATGTATTGATTTCATCTTAGCTAGAACCAGAAATCTTCAGTCCAATTATATTTAATGTAAATATCCATCTGGCTATGTTTAGGTCTACCATATTTTAATTTTTTTCTTTGTCCTTTTTAACTTTTATTCTTCTATTCTCTCTTTCCTGCATTCTTTATATTTACTTGGATATTTTTGTGTTCTATTTTTATTTATGAATTAACTTTTTAAAGTGACATATCTTTATATTATTTTCATGGTTCCTCTACAGAATATAATGCCTAAATTTTCACATTCTAGTTGGTTGCCATAGTGGTCATAAATACATGTATATATTATTTATTATACATATATATATCCAATATATTACTTATATGTATCTACCAGAAAATACTGTCATAATATAAATTTTTGCTTTCAACAATTATCTTTCAAATAATTTATCCAGACAGCTGCCATTTTTGTTACTATTCTTTCAATTCTGAAGATCCAAATTTCTTTCTTCCTTTAGTCTAAAGATATTTCTTTAGCATTCCTTTAGGGTAGGACTTCTGACAACATATTTTTCCAGTCTTCTTTTATTTATAATGTTTTGATATTGTCTTTATTTCTGAAATTTAATTTTGCTGAATACAGAGATTTAGGTTGACAGCTCTCTTCCTTCAGCACTTTCAAGATGCTCTTCTACTATATTCTGGCCTTTGTAGTTTCTGGTAAGACCTGCTATTTATGTAGTTTTTCTCATATATATAAAATACTATTTTTCCCTACCTACCTTCACGTTTTCTCCCCCCTTTGACTTTTAGAAATGTGGCTATGATGGGTCTTGGTTGGCTTCCTTAAGTTCATCTTGTTTGAGGTTTCACAAGATTTTTGAACCCGTAAATTTATATTTTTCTTCTCAAATTTTGAAAACTCTATTATTTTGTCAAATATTTTTATTTTCCTATTTCTATTGTCTATCCTTCTAGTGCTTTGATGGAATATATATTATATCTCTTGATATTAGGCCAGGAGCTCTGTTTATTTTTGTTTTAAATTTTTTTTTCTCTCTGACCTTCAGGATTTATAAATGTTATTGATTTATCTTCAGATTCACTTAACCATCTTCTGTCATCTTCATTGTGCTATTAAGCCCATATAATGATTTTATTTTACAACTATTCCTTTTCCTTGTCCTAAAATGTTCTTTTGATTCTTTTTTATTTCAATGCTAAGAACTTCTGTCTTTCCATTTATATTTAAGTATGTTTATCTTTTTCTTATGGAGGACAATTATACTAGATGATTAAAAGTCTTTATTTGATCATTTCAATGTCCAGGTCATTTCTACATTAGTATTTGTTGATTTTCACTTTGCTTGAGAATTGGCCATATTTTCCTGGTTCCTTGTGAAC
This sequence comes from Homo sapiens, assembly GCF_000001405.40. Taxonomy (NCBI): domain Eukaryota; kingdom Metazoa; phylum Chordata; class Mammalia; order Primates; family Hominidae; genus Homo; species Homo sapiens. Next base: position 179,593,205 of record NC_000004.12, read on the forward strand.
TTAGTAATTTTGGATTATATCAGTGACATTTTGAATGTTATGTTTAGATTATGAATACTGTTATAATCTAGAGAGTGTTTATTTTCTTTAGTTTTGCAGAAAATCAAACTCACTGGTTTCAGGCCATGAGGCTAGTTTGCCTTCTTTAAATGCTAGTTTCAATCCCAGCTTTTCAGGGTCTTTGCTATGTTGCAGCACGTCCATCCCACATATGTAGATGTCATAAATGAGCCCCAGATTAGTTTCCACTCATGCACAAAATTGAGAACTCTTCTTTTCTTGTTGTCTCCCCTCTAAGATATTCTGTGACACTCTCTGGCCCACACAGTTTTCTTTATCCAGTTCCATTAGATTTTATTTTTCTACTTCTCTTGAGTGCACTTGTACCACTGGAACCTGCCTTTGGGGCACACCATAAGAACAATGAGTATAAAATAATAAAAATAAAGAGGAAACACATTCCTTTACAGGTTACTTCCTCTGATTTTGACTTCCTTCTGTGATCTACTTGTTCTTACTTATTTTTTAAACTCTTCAGATAATTGCTTTTTTTGTACTTTATTTAGTTCTTCATTGTAATCAGTAGGAAAGATAACCCATAGTGAATATATCCTACCATGCTGGAAGAATTGAAAAACCTTGGTATTTTCAATTCCTGATGAGTCAGATGGTTCTGAAGATTTTATTTGTTCCATTAAAGACTTTTTTTTTTTCCCACAAAATAGCATCACACTTGATGGGAAAATGGCTGAAAAACTAGGAAACTGAACATAATTAATATAATTAATAAATGCTAACAAAGTTTCTATTCTAAAGGAAAAAGTTTCTAGGTCTATTGGAATGAAAATTTAGCTTTAATCACCAATACTTCATTTTCTGAAAATTCATCTTAATATCAAAATAAAAAGACCATACTATTTTTAGAGAAATATATCTCATCCTATTTGATCATCATAATTATGAAAATCTCAATAATATGAATGAAAATCCATAAAAACCAGAGTAAGAAAGATATTAAGCAAAACCATAAATATAGTTCTACATCATATTTTTTCATTTTCTAACATTGGAGATATACACACAACTCATTACTATTCTGAGACTTTTGTTAGCAAGGATTAACATTGTCCTTCTTTAGATTCCACATGCACATAAATATTAAATATATATTCTCATCCATTTTTTTCTTGTAATCCAAACAGAAAGCTGTAGAATGTAGTAAGGGATTATTACAAAAACTGAGCATATCCTCCAAACAGATTAAAGGAACATATCTATTATTAATCCTGATGTTTCCAAGCATATTAAATATTGTTTAACCTGCTACAAATAATTGAACTTGTATAACCACTGTATGTGCCAATATTAAGAATTAGGCATACTCTTGATTAATGTAGTAGATGGTTTCAGGCCTCAAGGCCTTAAAGCAGTGCTGTAAATCTGCTTATATATTAAAAGAGCCCTTGAAGCTTTAACTTTATATTATCCTTCTAGTTGGTTGCTTAGTACAAACTACATAAACTTAAGTAGCTGTCAATATCTACGATGAAGTTAATCATTGTGTTGTTAAAAGGGTTTTGTTAAAAGGAAAAATTCATCATTTGTATTTAATAATTGGTCAAATTGTATTGAAGTTAAAAAGTTTTTCATTTGTTTATATCTACAGGAAATATGAATTTGGCAATTACCATTAACATTTAAAATTGTAAAGTGAAAAAAATATAGTTCCTAGACTTCAAGAAATCTAATTAAGATGGAAAGCCATATACTGAAGAAATATCACATTACTAACCCAGGCAGGATATGTTAAATCACCTTGGACGACTAAAATTCTGCTGCTTTTCTCATCTATGAAATGAGTTTGACACTACATTTTTAAAGTTTCAAAAACAGTTGCCAAATTAGTGCTCTATACATAAGTAGTGTACACCAATAAAGGATGGAAGATGAATGATTGTTAGTCCCATGTCTATAAATGCTTATCAATTTCTAGTTAATAGTGAGTTATTAACATTCAACCAAGTAAAGAGATTATCCCACCCTAAAAAAAATTTGAAAGTATAATTATATGATTTATTAATAATATAGTGATACAATATAATTTGATATAATAAACTAAATAAAATTAGAGATTTGATATCACACTACCCTATACTGGCTAAAACACACCTGAGTATTATAGTATCTATATTTTATTAAATAAAAAACAACATCTTTAATGGTAAAGCCACTCAAAGTATTTCAAATTAAAAATGAGCCAAAGAAGTTTTTATGAATGGACACAAATTAGTTCTTCAATTAGCCAAAGGCTGTCTTTAAGGAGTTTGAACAAAGGCATTCTGCAAAATCATAAAGAATATTAACAATGAATGAATAAAAAGAGATATATATCTTTTTTTACAATCGGGTATACCATGGAATTGTCCTATCAGATGTTACTCTTTAAAATGTTCTTATGATCAAGTAATTTTAGAAAACATGGAATATCAAATATTCTAAAAAATTTACAGCACACTTGTAAATTTCAAGATTATTTTGTTGAGCCTTCATTATGTAGGCATGAGTGACTGAATCATGAGTCACTTGGTTGAACACAATCTGCAGTCCGGCCTCCTCTCTTCTGCAGAGGCCAGGCGGATATCACTTAGCTCCAATGTCCTGACCTTCTAACCACATGTTCTTTCTGCCATGGCCAACCCCAGCCTCCATCATTTATTTACCGTAAATCATGGATCACCTCATTAGCATAACGGCCTAGGAAGTATAACAAAAACACTCCAATCGCTTGATAAATTCTAGCAGTTTAGAGGTTACCTCCCAGGAACCTGGGATATATGCCAGCCAAATTCATTATTACACAAAGGTGCACCTCAGAATAATCAAGAAAGCATCCCATGAAAGAGCCTGTACTCAGACATCTGCCCCAGAAAAGGGGGGTTTCAACATCAGACTGTAATGGCAACATTCAAGTAATAAATTCTAATGCTCTTCCCCTAAATTTTGCTGCTCTGACCCTGGATAGAGGAAGTGGGGTTGAGATGGAGCAAGAAAGACAGAGGAAATTACAGCTTCTTTATCCACTGCTGGTTTCTCCGAGCATTGACTTGCCAGGGAGCTGTGAGGGAGAGGAACTTTTTTAATGGAATGATGATTTATATTTTATTTACATTGAGATAGGTTGTTAATTTCTGAAAATGAGATTGAGAGTAACTTGGAAGTTTTGCCTTCTGCCCCATATTTTCTCCAGTGCCAGAGACAAGAAATCCAATACGGTAGGCTTAGAAAAGCATGGTGGGAGGAAAAACAAATTGATTTTGCCCTTTCTGGTTCAGCTAGTTCAATAATCTATTTGTGAGTGCATTTCAATCCCTTAGGAAATTGTAATTTAACTCTCACTGTCCGTGGTCAAACATGCTTTACCACAGGTCTTCCACTAACATTGTTTTGTTCAACGTTGTTTTGTCATAATGTTGATAAGAAAATAAAAAAAATAATAATAATAAAAAAATGGCTTTCTAGCCAGAGCCACTGTCTGTGTGGACGCTGCATTTTCTCCTTACATCCTCATGGGTTTTCTCCTAGGATTCTGGTTTCCTGCCACATCCCAAAGCTGTGTATGTTTGGTTCACTGGTGTGTGTACATTGTCCCAGTGTGAGTGAGTGTGGGTGACTGTGAATCACCCTGCTGTGGGATGATACCCTGGACTGAAATAAGCAGGTAAATAATTATCTTACTTGTTTTGATTAATCCCTTTTAAATGTATGTATATAGCACACATGTATTTCAATGTTTCATATTAGAAGTATTTTGGTGTTTGTTTGTTTGTTTAGAAGTTTGGTAATGTTTTTGTGACCAGGAACTTTAGTCCATATCAATTAACCTATGGGAAAATTGGTTTCTTTATAGTCATTTTGCTTGAAGTCTCAGTTTCCAAGAACTGACCGGCAATGTTGAGTGAGCACTTACTGCACAGGCACTTGGTGGGGATGGTTGTAAGGAAATAAAGATAGGCTCAATTTGTCCTAGACTTTACTGTCCCCTCCAGTCCTGGGTTTCTCTCATCAGGTTCACATAGGAGAGCATCACTGTCATCTGGAGTTTAGAGGGTTTTGTCCTGAACTGCCCACTGAGGTTGCTCCAAAAGTGGTAGCAAGGTTCCCACAAGGAAGTGCCCCAAACCTTCCTGGGAGGAGGCTGGCTGGGATTCCAGAGAAAGAAGCACTAAACGAGAGGGAGATCAGTCCAAAGCCCTTGTAGAGGCCCTTTGTACAGAGTGCTGCAGCAATCCTGGAGATGGACAGAGAGAACAAAGGGATGTTCTAGCTAGGAATGCCTGCAGCCAGAAGGCCAGGATGTGGAGTTTACATCAGGGTTTAATGCATTTGGCTCAGGGCTGGGCCAGTTTCTTTCAGTGTTTTGGACAACAACCTAGATGGCTTTATCGGTGCCTGGGAATATTCAGGGCCTAGTATGGGATCCAGCCTGCTAGGAAAACATCAGCTTGCTGTGCCACTCTGTGATTTTTTTAAAGCACTGTACGATTTTTTTTTTTTTTATCTCAGGACACAGAAGGAAAGTGACCTTACAGGGGAGAGATTCACAGAATTAGTTACAACTTTCCTTTATCACTTAACATTGGAGTTCATACTGCTATATTGATATTCTATTGAAACTAAATATTGAAGTCACATGGTCATGATGAATAGCAAACATTTATATATCACCTACTATGTCAGAATATTTCAAATATTTTTCTATTTTAACTTATTTAATTCTCTCCATAAGCCTAAAGTTGGGTTCTTTTACTACCAGCATTTTACGGATAAGAAAACTAAGACACAGAAAGGTTAAGTAAAATTCCTAATGTTAAACAGCCGGTTAGTCTTCGACTCAAGTATTTATCCAAGTATACTATCTCTAAATTCCACATAATCCACTACTATCGAACTGCCTCTAATGTAATCAAAATCATATTATGAGTGCAAGGCATCTAAAAACTAGTCTGTTTCAGCAGGGCGTGGTGGCTCACACCTGTAATCCCAGGACTTTGGGAGACTCAGGTGGGCAGATCAATTGAGGTCAGGAGTACAAGACCAGCCTGGCCAACATGGTGAAACCCCATCTCTACTAAAAATACAAAAATTAGCCAGGTGTGGTGGCAGGTGCCTGTAGTCCCAGCTCCTCGGGAGGCCGAAGCAGGAGAATTGCTTGAATCTGTTAGGCGGAGGTTGCAGTGAGCCGAGATCTTGCCACTGCCCTCCATACTGGGCGACACAGTGAGACTCTGTCTCAAAAACAAACAAACAAACAAACAAACAGACCAGTCTATTTCAAGTTCCTTACCATACGGTTGAGGTACAAAATTAAATAGCAAGCTAATGAAGATAGGTACAGTGTAGCAATACCATTATTTTTTTTAACACCAATCTTCTGACTCTTTTTACAATGTCCTTTTGATTGATTATTTTAGAAACTTTTATCTTCCTTTGTTTTAATTCCAGGGAACCTTTCTTTAAATTGAATCTCCTGTGGAATCTGCTGCATAAAACTGAAAAGTCCCACTGAGCTGAAGTGGGAATTCAGAGCTTTGCTTGCTCCCCACCACCTGTTCTTGTCTTGTTTGACATCTCTGTGCTATTTCATGCATCTCTTTTTAGAGTTACATTTCCCTTAGCATCTGTGACACAAGACCCCTCTAATTCTCATGCTACTTCATAATGTCTTATTTTTTAACCTTATTTAACAGGGGGTGGGGACAGGGAACTGCAAATCTTCATCTGCTCACAGTTTAAATGTAAATATATGACAAATTTTCTGGTGACAGTACTGTATAGATAAAAATTTGAGAAAAGCAAGTAGTGTTCAACAAGAGACTTGAAAGATAAGAAGTAATTTCACAATGAGAAGGAAATGGATAATGGATTACCTCAGAAGAAGGAGGAAAGTACCGGTTAATTCAAGTTATGATATTATTGAATTGAAAAAGTGCAGGCAGAAAATGTATCTTTTGAGTTAAATAGCATATACCTTTCTTATTAGTTAAAATAGTCTTCACTGTCTTTAACCTAAAGAGTTACAGTGTTCCCAGTGGGATTTAAAGTTACTTTTTAATGAGATAAGGAATCATAGAACCTAATTAACTTATCATTAAGAAAACTAGAGAGATTTAAAAATATACATAATTCTTGGGGCAGGGAGAGAAAGGAGAAACAATATATTATACCATTCACTCTTGGAGTAGGTACAGTGTGAAAACTAGAAATAGAATAGAACAACATTTATACACAGCCCTTTTCCAGTATGACTTTCCCTTATTGGGCATATTTGAAGTGGGTATCATTCAGAATGTAATCAATAGATTAAAATTTGGGAGATGATGGTTAAAGTTATTTTTTTTCCCTTTGGATCCCTTCATAGGCAGCTGGCACATAGGAATAGTTGGTGACTATGTCCCAAAAAGTCTTTATTTTATTTTGTTATTTATTATTTATTGATTTACTCTTCGAGACAGGGTCTTGTTCGTTTGCCCAGGCTGCAGTGCAGTGGCAAGATCATGGTTCATTCCAGCCTCAAACTCCTTGGCCCAAACACTCTTCCTGCCTCAGCCTCCCAAGTAGCTGGTAGTGCAGACTTGTGCTACATCACCCAAGTTTTTATTATTATTTTTTGTAGAGAGAGGGTCTTGCTATTTTTCCCAGGCTTGTCAAACTCCTGCCCTTAAGGGATCCTCCTGCCTTGCCCTCCCGAAGTGTTGGGAATATAGGCATGGGCCACCATGCCCTGCCAGTATATTTTATTTGAATTTGGTAAAACCAATACAAACACATAACGCTAAAGGAAAGAATCTCGCTCTGTCGCCCAGGCTGGAGTGCAGTGGAGCGATCTCGGCTCACTGCAAGCTCTGCCTCCCGGGTTCACGCCATTCTCTTGCCTCAGCCTCCTGAGTAGCTGGGACTACAGGCACCCGCCACCACGCCCAGCTAATTTTTTGTATTTTTAGTAGAGACAGGGTTTCACCGTGTTAGCCAGGATGATTTCGGTCTCCTGACCTTGTGATCTGTCTGCCTTGGCCTCCCAAAGTGATGGGATTAGAGGTGTGAACCACGGCGCCCGGCCGGAAAGATTCTTTTTAAACATCAAGTAATAACTAATCAGTGAACTGCCAGTTAATTTGAACTGATTGGTGATACAAGCAACATGAGACATTAGGACTGGCATTCAAGGATGAAAATAGAGCTACAAATAATCAAATATTATTATGGATGCCCAATTATTAAGCAAACTTAACATCTCATTGAATAGATTACACATCTCCTGAGTAGTTTATATTATATGGGTGTAGGAGTATTAAAATATAGTCACTAGACCTTCAATAACAGTGAAGCTCACTTCTATATTACCTAAAAATATTATTGTTTACATGGTATAATAATGCTCCTGGGAAGTCTTCTCAGATATCTGAATATAAACAAAGTCTCTTAATGGAAGGGGCTGTCAAAAATTGTAGTGTAATTCCATATGTGTGGCTTTATGAACATTCACATACAAAACAACACACACGTGTGTATGTGTCAGACATATGGTGTTGTAATGCCTTTATAAGAGGGCTTCACTACATAATAACTTACTATAAAACAAATGTTGTTATTTAAATTATTACCAGCAGAAAATTGCCTGTTGTACTGTATTTTATAGAGAAGACAGCTCATAAATGCACTAAAGTGCAAAGACATTTTTAAAAAGGCAATAATGAATTTTCAATAATGAAGCCTAGTAATAGCAGTGTAAGAAAGCATCTGAAAGCTGATAAAATCTATATTTTAGCACTGTTTCTATATGTACAAGGTAAGGCTTTCTGATCTCAATTGTCAGTATGAATTTTTTGTTTCAATTTATAAAGATCAAATTCACATTTTTGAAGTGAGTTATTATTGCATATCTTCATTTAAGGTCAGGCACAATTTTGAACATGTTAATCAAAAAGAATACTTATTGTCATATCTCACTTCTGACATTTAAGAAAAACTCTTCATGCAAATTAAGTATGTGACTACACTACCAAAAGAGTGTATCAAATACTTAACACAGAAATACAATGAACTTCTCTATATTGACTGAAGTCCTTCATGTGCCTCTTCTCAAGTGCAAATTAGACTCAGATTTCTCCTCTTTGAAGTACAGTTACCCTTGTACATACACTGCTTAAAGCGTTACTTATATCTATCATGAATCAAAATTAAAGTATCCCTTTAAAATATTTCCAGGCACAAGATTTTTATATCTTATAAAAAATACCCAATTCAGAAGGATTGTTGGATTCATCAAGCTATTTTTTTGTAACTTATAATTGGCTTTTTAAAAACTGAAAATATCAGTTTATTTTCTCCTAAGATAATTTCCTTCAAATACTCAACTTCTTTATCACATCTGATTTTTAATGATTACCTATTTTCTTCTAATTTCCAGAGTCTCTCTATTTATAATACAAATTGTACTTCATCACACAGGAACCTTAATTGGATATAATTGGGATGAAAGTGTTCTCACTCATGCTTTACGAGTCTCAAAGGCAAAAAAAAAAAATGTAGCAAATCAGCACAAAAACCCACACCCTTCTTTCCACGGTGGTGGAGAGGAAGCTCACAGGAAGCCCTGGCAGTCAGACTTGGCAACTGCTCACTCTCACTGGAGCTTTCATTGCTAGAGTGAGCACTCCATTTCCAAGAGTCTTTCATCTATCTGAGCATCCATTGACAATCATGTACAGCAGAAAATAGTACCTTGTGTAATCAAGGGAGTTTTCCAAAACCTGGTAAGTAAAACCAGGATGCCAGGCAAGGTTAGAATGCCACAGAATAAATAGGGGCTGCTTTGTTCTGGTTTAGTAAATTTGTTTAGCTTTTCTTATGTCCCATTTCAATGATGTGCTGTTGTTTCAAAAGGGATAGGACAAGGTATTTGCCCTTGGCTTCCAAGGGCAAAATCTCTTGGATTTTACTCTACGTAGAGGATATGTCTTTGATCATGTCATTTTTTTTCTGTCTCTCAAATTTATATTTAACTATCCTTTAATAAATTAGAGAGCATCATGCAATTTCAACAACAAAAAATTATTGCTTAATTCTATGGGGTCACATTGTGAATTTATTATCTAATTTCGGTATAATATTCATCTTCTATTATGGTCCAATAAGCAGAAGAACAATGAGACTTCATCTCTTGTTTTAAATCCTACTTTAATTCTTACCAAGTGGTTTATTTGATCATAATTATTTTGGCATCAGTGTAAACCTGGCTATTATTGTTTATCCAGCATAAGCCCGTGAGACACCTGAAAACTTCACATGACAAAATGATGCAGAAAATTTCATTACATTTCTGTAAAAAGTCATACACTTAGTGTTGCAGGTCAGGTTCCCTGGGAAACAGACTGGAGCTGGCGATTTGTGTGCTAGAAGTTTATTAAGGAGTGCTCTCAGGATCAACTCCTGAGAGAAAGAAAAGAAAGCAGGATTTAGTAGGGAGAAATTAGGCTGCTGCATAGTCACCACAAAGGCCTAAGTCTGTCCTTTAGGTAGTTCTAGAGCTGGTATGGCCTACCAAATTTGCCTTATGAAAGGTATGGTATCTGGATCTTTATACCTCATAGCATCCAACCATGTACACATGAGATCACAGATAAGGCAGGAGAAGCAAATCTCTTCAGCAAAGGGCAATCAATCGCCAGGAGCCACAACACTGTGGCACCACAGTTAACGCTCCAAGGATCCAGAGAAATGTGTGCTTTCACTTTGAAAGGTGGTGTGGAATATTGGAGTTGTAGCCTGTGGCATCCATTACTCACATGTTAATATATCTTGATTCAGTACTAACCTTTTTTTCTTGAATTTTTGGAATTAAGGGCTTGGTACATATTTGACCATTGGAAATCCAAATACTTCCTGTTTTATATCACAGAAATGTTGGTGCCTTCATAGCACCAAGACATGTAATTCATCAAAATAGTACATATAGTTCCTTTCCTTTTTTCTGTATCCTTGATTCTTGTCCCACATCTTATGTGTACACTTTGTTAGAAGCAGATCTTTGAGCAGCAACTAAAGAAGTGTTCAGCTAGTCCTGTGTCTGCTGTTATAGGAAGAAGTGTGTTTCCTCAAAGTTGGAGTAGATGTAGCCAAGTAGATCGTGAGTAGCTACTGAAGTGCTAGCAGCAGCAGTATGATGCAAAAAAGCACACGCTGGCACCCCTTTTTGATAAACTAGCAGATACAATGATTTTTTCTTTCCATTATAAATACAACTATTTGGGCAGATACAGCAGTAAGCCTTGATCAATTTTCATGGAAAGATAACAGTTATGAATAATAGTGTAAAACAAACAGAACACAGGCTTATATCATTTGCAAACTCAATAACTGAATTTTGAAAAGTTTAAAATTGACTGTATAATGAAATATTGAAAAAGAGTTGGGAATAAGAGAGAAGCACTATGCATTAGACAGTTGTATCCTCTGAAATGTTCCTGCTTATTGGATCATCCTTGGGCACTTTTCCTGAGAAAGGCTCAGACAAAGCTGTAAATAGAGGCAGTTTGGGGATCAATGGCCAGAACCTAGGGCCTTGAATATTGAGTCAGAGGTATGGAATCTATCACAGTTTCAATCAAACCACGAAATGTTTGGAAATGGCCAATAAAAGTCCAAACAAAAAATCAATACATTTCTAACATCTAGAATTGAATAAGTAACAGAAGATGGTGATCAAATATGGAACACAAGATTCTGAAACAACAAATCTGACTGGCAGAATAATAAATAGTGCTCTTAAACAGCAGGTGTTAAAAAGGTTGTGAAAATATGATTGCAAGTCATAAAATATCTTAGCACCTAAAATGTTCAAGCACTGAGCTATATCAAATTTTCAGGATCTGTCCTCAAATAATATGTAGAGGCATGTAAGTTGACAAAGAAAGAGAGAAAGAAAGAGAAAGAAAGAAAAAGAAAGAAAGAAAGAGACAGAAAGAAAGGAAAAAAGAAAGAAAGAGAGAGAGGGAGGGAGGAAGGAGAAAAAAAGAAAGAAAGAAAGAGGGAGGGAGGGAGGAAGGAGAAGAAAAAGAAAGAAAGAAAAAGAAAGAAAGAAAGAAAGGCTTGTAGTGCTCTTATATACCAGATATTAGCTAAGCATCCTAAAAGGTTTTTGTTTGTTTTTTTTTTTTTTGAGACAGGGTCTGGCTCTGTCACCCAGGCTGGAGTGCAGTGGCACAATCTCAGCTCACTGCAACCTCCAACTCCCAGGCTCAAGGGATTCTCCCATCTCTCAGCCTCCTGAGTAGCTAGGACTACAGGCATACCCGCCTAATATTTAAATATTTTGTAGAGACAGAGTTTCACCATGTTGCCCAGACTAGTCTCCAACTCCTGAGCTCAAGCCATCCACCGGCCTCAGCCTATCATAGTGCTGGGATTACAGGCATGAGCCACCACTCCTGGCCTCTAAAAGTTAAAGGATAATAATTATATTCCTTAATTTAAAAATAGATAGATGTACTCATTCTCATCTTATATTTGAGGAACTGGCTTGGGAAAGTTAAGTAATTTACCCAAGTGGACACAGCCAGTAAGTAATAAACCAGATATTTTTTCCCTCTCCAATTTCTTTTCTATTCCTCTTAAGTTTTCCTTTAAAATAAGTACATAATAGGATAACACTGTTTATAATTTTCAAGATTGTAGTAATTTTTGTCACATTTTCTGTAATATTTTTCACTTGATAAAATTTGAAGAAAATTACAATTATGATAATCATCTTTATGTATACAAGACTCAGCATATAATGAAAAATGTTATAGACAAAAAGCATCACAAACCACACTCACTCATTTCCATCTCTATTTGAAAACAAAAGCTATGGCCCTACTTGGATGACATGCATGAAGCCCGCAAAGCTAAGGTAAATGTGTAACTTTTCCAAAAGAAAATGGACCTATTTGGGAAGGTTGGAATTTTACCAAAAAATTTTAATATAAAGACCCCTTCAAAGTTGCTTGTTGGATGGAAAATCAAAAGAAGTTACAGGATATCAAAGAGAGTGTGGTAAGTTCATGTATCCTGGAAATTATTCAGCTATTTCATAAATTTAATCAGAGGAGTGGAATGTAATTACCATGCCTGCCCACTGATGTCGTCACTTTTGAATCACTCGTCTTTCTTCAGTATTTTTCAGTAAAACATAGTAGATTTCTCAGCTCTGCCGCTTTCTGTCAACACACATCTGCACAACAGTATTCGTAACTTCTCAGCAACCTAGTTTTTAAGCATCTGTCTATCCGAGTACATGTTGAATTGTAAAGGAGAATTTCTATTTTGTGATGCCCTTCAGAAAACAAGAAAGGCAGTTGATACTTTCAAAACCTGCAAATAATTTCTAAGTAAAAGTTTTGAAGAAAAGTCTTCTCACTCTGAGCTCAGATAGAAAACATGTGATGTTGTGTATTTCATTTAATTTTGCTACATGAATGAAGGATACAACTCCAGATGGCTTTGTGACTCATGATTTTCTGTGTGAATACCCATCAGCATCAATGCCTCTGCTAATGAGGCCAAAATGCATTTTCCTATAGGGACGAAAATCTTAACTTTATAATCTGGGTCAAAGAAGATCTTGATTAAATAAAGTCTCTGAAGAAACATTAGGGTGATATATCTTTATCTATTATGTAGAGAGTCAGTGGTTTCTTAAAAATAGGACATGTCTTAAAACATACCTTTGTATATAAATAATTGTTTTTTGAAAAGAGATTGGTCAATTTCTGAATAATTCAGGAAGAATGAATTCTTCCAGTGCCTCACTGTCTTGGATGATTTTGACCATATTTATGAGAACCCTTTTTCTTTCTTTAAGACCCTGAGGTCACCATTATGGATGCTGTTTAAAGAACCATGTAGTCTTTTCCATCCTGCCACTCTGGAAGAAGAGATCGAGAGCTCAATTATGCAAACTTTGCAAAGCTGGTAAAAGCACTTCTTCAAGATGGAATTGACAACTACAAAGTCTTGTCAGTTTCTTTGTGGACAGAAATCCCCAGATACCTGAAAACAAAGAACATTTTAAAATGTTTCCTTCAGATGAATTTAAAATTGAAATGTGGATTCATAATACCTTCTGTGCTAATAGAGTCAGCATCCATAATACAGCCCCTATCCAAATTGACTTTAGCACCAAGGAGGTAAGAAAAAGGAAATATTGTGCCATTAATTTAATTAAAATTAGTCGAGAAGAATTCTGGCATTATTTGGCACAATTCTATCTTTATCTGAAAAAAGTAAGTAGGAAGTTTCTGCTTATTGTGTATATTTGAATCTACATTCTTGAGTAGGATTTTGTATTTCCAAAATCATAAAATGTGCAAAATGTTGTATTTCTTTATGTTCATTATTATCAGAAGGAGGTACTTACGTTTTATCAAAATATCCAAGGAAAGTGTCACTCCAAAGTATTCATTTCCTCAACATAATTATTTTAAATAAAATAATAAAAATACAGTATAATTGTAAAAATAATATGCATTTATATATCATTTTATAATTCATTACAGTAACAGTATGAGTTCTGATTTCACTTTTTGCACTTGAGAAATGAGGGACTTAAGAAAATTAGACGGCTTGTTTAGGGTAGGTAAGGGGCAGATCCAGGTATTAACAAGCGTCTTCTTACCCTAAAGCATACACTGTCCTGATTTCCTTTAAGGAGAGGTAAGTAAAGGGCCCCCAGAGCTCTGAGGGAAGGCTTGATCCTAAGTGGTCCCTTAGACTGAGTTTTAAAGGAAGTTAGTGTTTGAACTGAGGCTTGAAACAAGACAAGAATTTCATTGGAAAGGGGAAAAAAATCCAATTCATGGTACCAAAATAAGCAGAAACTAAGAACAGTACTTGTGAAGACAGGCTGAGTCATCTGATGCAGCTCTTTCTATGAGTTTTTGAAAAATTATTGTTACGGTCATCTCATTTTGAGAAAGGAGGAAAGGAAGAGCAGATGGCCTCGGGTTGGGGAATTTCCTACAATATATTGTTATAATTAACTTACTTCGGCTGAAACTAAGATTAGAGATTAGAGAGCGTATGCTTAGGTGGTAGACATATTTGGTTTATGATGTTCTATGCATCAGAGACAATTTGTAAAAAGAGGGGAATGTTAAAATTTTGAATATGATTAAGCTTTGTCAGCCTAAGTGTGTTAGCTATTAACTGATAATGATTAGGGACTCATTTTCTCCAAGCTGTCTTTAGGCATCATTGCTAAGCCAGTAGCCATTCAGTCCTCCTTCCATGCTGGCAGAGCTTCGGTTTGTTCACTTGCTCCTTTCTCTTCCTAAGACTCAGAGTCACATCTTTATTAGTGTAAGCCAGTCATTTAGGTCTCATGTCCCTTAACAGCACTTTATTTGGGAATAGATATTCATTGCAATTTTGGCCAAGAAACAGAAGTAAACTGCTACAACCAACTTTTTACCAGGAGAGAGAAAAGCCAACTAATGACTAATGGAGAAAATAGTAGGAAAAGAAACCTGGGGCACTTGGTGACATCAGTTCTTCAAACTACAATACCTTGAGGAATTTCTTAGTGAGCTAAAACACATTCCTTATTTTATAAGGTGATTCCATTAGAGTTTTCTATGCCTCGCAACAGGAAGCATTATCACTGACATGACCTGAGTGAGACTAACTCCAATGAAACAGAATCACAGCACTAAAACTGTCATTTATTATGTACTTATATCAGGAAAATGTACTTAAATGTACCTAAAAAATGTACTTTAAAATGTGCTTAAAACACAAAATCAGTAGTAAGATATAACAGCAAATTAAGGAGAAAAGTAAACATTTATACTAAGAAGGGAAGTTCAGAAAGGTAATTGGGGTTTTTCTATAGTGGAATATTAGCCTTGTATTTTGGGAAGACAGTCCTGACAGAATTTCTGTAGAACAGTATAAAAACTGGAAAAATGTAAGATATATCAGAAATGTCAGATTGATAATAACCACGATTCTTTTTGACCACAGGGAAGACTGGTAGACTAAAGATGGCTGCACATATTTAGGGAAACCCCATTGAGAGAATGGGGCCTTATTCCCCCTTCCCTTGAATCTGAGGTAACCTGTGGCTACTTTTGACCAATAAAGTGTGGCAGATGCCATGACATCATGTGGTTCTCAGTCTTGCCTTTAAGAAAATGGGCAGCTTCCTTCTTGCTCTCTTGGAGTCTTTTGGGTTGCTGTATCAGAAGTCCACTCTCTTGGTAAGACCACAAAAAGAAGCTCTGAGTTGACCTCAGCAGAGAGAATGGCCCAGATGAGCCCATTGTTCCAGATGTTTATGCCAAATTTCAGGCATGTGAGTGACATAATCTTAGACACTCCAGACAAACTTAATAACCAGTTCAGTAACACCAAGTAACCCCAGAAGAGGCCACATAGAGCAGAAGAATTGATCAAATTCTTGATCCACTAGTGATGAGATAAAAGAATTGTTTTTTGAAGCCCCTGAATTTTGGGGATTTTTTGCATTTTTTTGTTATTGTTGTTGCTTTGTTAGCACATGGGCACGGTGGCTCATGCCTGTAATTTTGGCACTTTGGGAGGCCAAGGCAGGCAGATCACCCCAGTTCGAGACCAGCCTGGTGAAACCCTGTGTTTTGTAAAAATACAAAAATTAACAGGGCATAGTGGTGCATGCCTATAGTCCCAGCTACTCGGGAGGCTGAGGCAGGAGAAACGCTTGAACCTGGGAGGCAGAGGTTGCAGTGAGCCTCCCAGCCTGGGCAACAGAGCGAGACTCCACCTCAAAATAAATAAATAACTGAAATAAATATAGACAAAATAAATGTAGTTATGAATTCTTAGGTTATTGTGGTTACTTAAACCCAGTTTGCCAATGGACTGAGGACATTAAGAATAAAAAAAGGCAAGATAACTCAAGAAATGGTAAAAATTTAATATTGATAGAATTTAGTGATGCATGAAATTTTGATGGTCCAGTGAAGGAGAGGGAGGTGTGCCAGATGATCACTTTATGCTATCCTAGAAGGCAGAAAATATTCTCTCAATTGTCTTAACCAGTATCTGGAACTGAGTAGAAAGGGCACATTTCTAAGGAAGAGGTGTAGAATAAGTTTCACATTTTCTGAGAAATCATTTGGATGTCCATGGAAATTTTAGAGTTCAGAAGATAAAGAAAACCAGGCTGGGCGTGGTGGCTCATGCCTGTAATCCCAGCGCTTTGGGAGGCTGAGACGGGTGGATTGCTTGAGAGCAGCCTGGCCAACAGGGCAAATCCTCGTCTCAACTGAAAATACAGAAGTTAGCCGGGTGTGGTGGCAGGCACCTGTACTCCCAGGTACTTGGAAGGTTGAAGCATGA
The DNA here is from genome assembly GCF_000001405.40 of Homo sapiens. Classification (NCBI taxonomy): domain Eukaryota; kingdom Metazoa; phylum Chordata; class Mammalia; order Primates; family Hominidae; genus Homo; species Homo sapiens. The sequence continues at coordinate 179,609,621 of NC_000004.12, forward strand.
GAATCCCTTAAACCCAGGAGGCGGAGGTTGCAGTGAGCTGAGAATGAGCCACATTGCGCTCCAGCCTAGGTGACAGAATAAAACTCTGTCTCAAATTAAAAAAAATACAGAAACAAAAAATAAAGAAAACCAGAGATAATGTTTAGAAGTTATAGACAAGGCAAATTTCAATGCACAGAAATATTTTAATCCTCGTAAAAATGGTTGAATAAAATGCTGCTTATAGCAGTTCATTCATATAGAAACTATATATTTTATACTATTTCACTGGACTTTTTCAAAATTTTACAAAGAAAAACTCAGTCTTTTAGGCCCACCTACACCAAAAAAATAGCATTCTTATTTACTCTCTTGGGCATTAGCTACAAAAAATGAAGAATTGTGTTAGTTTCTGTGATTTTTTTAATCTACAGAAAAATTGTGTACTTAAAAAAGTCAAGTATTTAACCTGAATTATTTCTCAATTGAAATAAACTTTCTTTAAAAATCTATAATTTTATTTAGGCTGCTGTTTAAACTGTAGATAAAGGTGTGGCAAATGTATAATTATGCATTTCATTTTCTTCTATTTTTTATGAACATGAGGCATTTTTCGTTATTTAAATATTTAAAGTTTCCTTATATTAAAGTATATTAAAACACAATTTAGATTTAGGATTGACTGAGCCACAACTTGTTCAAGAATATTCGAATTATTTTTCCAACAACAGTTTTAGACAAAGTTTGATTCTATGATGAATGCTCTTTCAATGGAAATAAATCATACTACTGAAGGTAAAGAAGTCTGTTATTGAGGTCAATTACCACGTCAGGGTGTCCTTGAAGCCTCAGCAATTGAATGGTCATGTCTATAGCCTGGAGAATGTAAGGCTGGAAACATATTTTTGATGATTATGAGCAAGTTAGTGTGAATGGTGATTGCAACAAGCAGAACTGTAGGTCTGGAGGGGAAATAATAGTCACCGGCGGCATCTTCCAGAGCACTAACAAACAATGATTCCTGGCAAGAATGACTATATCACATTTTGTAGAAATACAGATGAATTTCAAGCCTATTCTACCAGCCTAAATTTAAGAATTACCTGGCTTTGTTCAACCACCTCATGAATGCCTCTCATGATACTTAAAACTAAATAAACTTTATCTAGAGATCTTTCTGCATAAAATTTCTGCTTCTGTTTTTCATTTTTTCATATACACAGACACACAAACACAGGATGTAATAATAAAAAAATCACATGACTTAATTCATAATTGTCATTAAATATAACCAAATGCTAAAATTTGTATGCTATATGCATAGATATATAGATACATAGATATTTATGTATATGTCCATCTATGTGGATCAGTAAGATGTAAATATATATATATATATATGAAATTATGCACATACTTAGTTTTACATTGGAATTTTTCTGATTCTAATGCAAGGACAATATATATGTATATATATTCATTAATTCACACATATATTCATATATATATATATATAAGTTTTCATCAGCTATGAATATATGGCAGATAATTCACTAAAAATGAAACTTTCCATCGTAAAATTGTAGGCATTTATGTGAAATAATTGATCTTGAATTAATGTGAGAAATATACTTGTTTCCTTCCTTCTACCACAAAAAGTACATGAGGAGCAGTTAGATACCTATAAAACTGCAAATAACAGAGAAATTTTAATATATTATTCAGATGCCCAACCTCTTTCTATAGCTCTCAAGTCCATCTCAAATACTAGTCCCAATGGCTCTTGGTATATCGATTTAGATCAGAGCCTCTCCTCTAAGGAGAAGCCATTTGGTCTTAATGCTTCTAGACCTCACAGAGGTTCCCAGTCTCCTGGCCCCAGAATACTCTGTTTTTACAGGGGCACATTGCAAAACCTGAACTTTCAGGAAAGGGTGAGAACGTTTTGGAGATGCTTCAGAGTAACTGTAAAAGGAGTGTGAGTTATGGGATTGCTTGTCAAAGGAGAGTCATAGCATGGACCTGCGCTCCCATTACAGCTTCCTGGGCAGCTTTGGATCGACTGCCATTAGAAGGTACTATTAGTCCAGCACCTTGATCTTGGACTTCTCAGCTTCCAGAACTGTGAGAAAATAAACTTCTGTTCTTTATGTTCTTTCTTTCTTTATTTTTTTAATAGACGGAGCTTCGCACTTGTTGTCCAGGCGGGAGTGCCAATATCCCTGATGAACATCAGTGCAAAAATCCTCAATAAAATACTGGCAAGCTAAATCCAGCAGCACATCAAAAGCTTATCCACCATGATCAAGTGGGCTTCATCCCTGGGATGCAAGGCTGGTCCAACATATGCAAATCAATAAACGTAATCCAGCTTATAAACAGAACCAAAGACAAAAACCACATGATTATCTCAACAGATGCAGAAAAGGCCTTTGACAAAATTCAACAGCCGTTCATGCTAAAAACTCTCAATAAATTAGGTATTGATGGGACATATCTCAAAATAATAAGAGCTATTTATGACAAACCCACAGCCAATATCATACTGAATGGGCAAAAACTGGAAGCATTCCCTTTGAAAACTGGCACAAGACAGGGATGCCCTCTCTCACCACTCCTATTCAACATAGTGTTGGAAGTTCTGGCCAGGGCAATCAGGCAGGAGAAAGAAACAAAGAGCATTCAATTAGGAAAAGAGGAAGTCAAATTGTCTCTGTTTGCAGATGACATAATTGTATATTTAGAAAACCCCATTGTCTCAGTCCAAAATATCCTTAAGCTGATAAGCTACTTCAGCATAGTCTCAGGATACAAAATCAAGATGCAAAAATTACAAGCATTCCTATACAGCAATAACAGACAAACAGAGAGTCAAACTATGAGTGAACTCCCATACACAATTGCTTCAAAGAGAATAAAATACCTAGGAATACAATTTACAAGGGATGTGAAGGACCTCTTTAAGGAGAACTACAAATAACTGCTCAAGGAAGTAAAACAAATGGAAAAACATTCCATGCTCATGGATAGGAAGAATCAATATCATGAAAATGGCCATACTGCCCAAAGTAATTTACAGATTCAATGCTATCCCCATCAAGCTACCACTGACTTTCTTCACAGAATTGGAAAAAACTACTTTGAATTGCATATGGAACAAAAAAAGAGCCCGCATAGCCAAGACAATCCTAAGCAGAAAGAACAAAGGTGGAGACATCACACTACCTGACTTCAAACTATACTACAAGGCTACAGTAACCAAAACAGCATGGTACTGGTACCAAAACAGATATACAGACCAATGGAACAGAACAGAAGCCTCAGAAATAACACCACACATCTGGAGCCATCTGATCTTTGACAAAACTGACAAAAACAAGCAATGGGGAAAGGATTCCCTATTTAACAAATGGTGCTGGGAAAACTGGCTAGCCATAGGCAGAACACTGAAACTTGATCCCTTCCCTACACCTTAAACAAAAATTAACTCAAGATGGATTAAAGCCTTAAATGTTAGACCTAAAACCATAAAAACCCTAGTAGAAAACCTAGTCAATACCATTCAGGATGTAGGCATGGGCAAAGACTTCATTACTAAAACACGAAAAGCAATGGCAGCAAAAGCCAAAATCAACAAATGGGATCTAATTAAACTAAAGAGTTCTGCATAGTAAAAGAAACTGTTATCAGAGTGAACAGACAACCTACAGAATGGGAGAGAATTTTTGCAATCTATCCATCTGACAAAGGACTAATATCCAGAATCTGCAAGGAATGTAAACAAATTTACAAGAAAAAAATAAACATCTCATCAAAAAGTGCAAAAAGTGGGTGAAGGATATTAACAGGCACTTCTCAAAAGAAGATATTTATGTGGTCAACAAACATATGAAAAAAAGCTCATCATCATTGGTCATTAGAGAAATGTAAATCAAAACCACAATGAGATACTATCTCACTCCATTTAGAATGGTGATCATTAAAAAGTCAGGAAACAACTGCTGTGGAGAAATAGGAATGCTTTAACACTGTTGGTGGGAGTATAAATTAGTTCATCCATTGTGGAAGACAGTGTGGCAATTCCTCAAGGATCTAGAACCAGAAATACCATTTGACTCAGCAATCCCATTACTGGGTATATACCCAAAGGAGTATAAATCATTCTACTATAAAGACACTTGCACATGTATGTTTATTGTAGCACTGTTCACAGTAGCAAAGACTTGAAACCAATCCAAATGCCCACCAATGATAGACTGGATAAAGAAAATGTGGTACATATACACCATGGAATACTATGCAGCCATAAAAAAGGATGAGTTCATGTCCTTTGCAGGGACATGGATGAAGCAGGAAACCATCGTTCTCAGCAAACTAACACAGGAACAGAAAACCAAACACCCCATGTTCTCACTCATAAGTGGGAGCTGAACAATGAGAACACTTGGACACAGGGAGGGGAACATCACACACCGGGGCCTGTCGGGTGGTAGGGGGATAAGGGAGAGATAGCATTAGCAGAAATACCTAATGTAGATGATGGGTTTGTGGGTGCAGCAAACCACCATGGCACATGTATACCTATGTAACAAACCTGCACATTCTGCACATGTATCCCAGAAATTAAGGTATAATTTAAAAAACAAACAAACAACAAAAAGAAAAAAACAGGCCAGGTCAAATATATCTGCAAGCTGAGCTTCCAAACTCGTCCTCAGTTTAAGGGCTCAGATAATCAACACGTCTCTAAACCCAGGGGCTACAGACCGAATTGTGTCTCCGCGAAATTCATATGTTGAAGCCCTAAGCTGCAATGTGATGATATTTGGAGATGATGCCATGGTGAGATAATTAGGTTTAGATGTGGTCATGAGAACAGGGGCCTCATCATGGGACTAGTGCTCTTCTAAGAAGAGAAGGAGACTAAAGCTTGCTGGCTTGGCTCTGTGAGGACACAGCAAGCTAGGAAGAGAGCCTTTGCCAGGAACTGGATCTGCCAGCACCTTGATCTTGGACTTCTCAGCTTCCAGAGCCGTGAGAAAATAAACTTCTGTTCTTTATTTTATTCATTTATTTATTTTTTAATAGACGGAGTTTCACACTTGTTGTCCAGGATGCAGTGCAATGGCTCAATCTCGGCTGAATGCAACCTCCTCCTCCTGGGTTCAAGAGATTCTCCTGCCTCAGCCTCCCGAGTAGCTGGGACTATAGGCGCGTGCCACCACGCCCAGCTAATTTTTTGTATTTTTAGTAGAGACAGGGTTTCATCATGTTAGCCAGGATGGTCTCGATCTCCTGACCTCATGATCTGCCCGCCGTGGCCTCCCAAAGTGCTGGGATTACAGGCATGAGCCACCATGCCCAGCCAACTTCTGTTCTTTATACAACACCAGATCTATCATATTTTGTTATGGCAGCCCAAACTGATTAATAAAACAGCAGCGCTTTAGAGTCAGGTGTTTTAGTTTTTCTGGGTGCCAGAGTTAAGGTAAAATGCCAGGCATTTGACTAGAAACGAGGTTTCAAAGCCTGATCCATATGTAGAAAAGGAATAAAAATAATTGTACGTGTATCTTTGGAAAGAAAATGGAATGAAGTCAAAGCAGACTTATTAGTGAAACACACTAAAGAAGCAAGGAATAGTCAGAGGTATCAAGACTTCTCCACTGCAAGGAGCTGGATGCAAGAACAGGATCTGGTATACCATGCTTGAGGACATCAGACTGGCTGTCCTGAATGTAGTTAGGAGGCCAGCTTCGGAGATACTGAGATAGAATCTGGAGCATGCTTTGGAGATATTGATGTTTCATATGCATGTGAATGAAACTGTGAACAGGGAGAGAGCTGCTAGGAACACTGGTGGTTTTTCACACTTGGAAGTGGAAGAAGACCTACTAAGGGAACAGAAGTCACTGGCTCAATGTAAAGCAGCAAATCATCTGGGAAGACCTGTGAAGTGTCAGAAAATCTTTAGGATTCAGGGTGACAAGAAACACAGGGAAAATGCTATGGAATATAATTTAGAGGAATGCACTGATGAGAAGACTAGACAGAATTTATGGCCTGTTTACCACGCAGTGAGAGCACTCCTTTCAGACTTGGGCATCTAAGAATTCAACAATCTAAAACACCTAGTAATCCTGATAAAATGTAAGAATCATTCTTCATATTGCTAGCTAACCTTCAAGAAATAAGGTAACGTCATAGAAACCAAATTTAAAAAGTAGCAGGAATCCAGAGTAATGGATTAAAGCTCAAGCTTGTCTCTAGGGCAATTCGCCAGAACTCACTGAGTCCCTAGATTTGTTTCAGCAAAGCTGAGCCTTTCATATAATCCTCCGTTGAAGGGAGAACTGGAGGATGGATATACAGGATGGGGTTTGTGTGTGTGTATGTGTATTCTAGCAGTACGTACTCTGGTGACAAGAGACATCAACAAAGCTTGTCTCTTGTAGCCCATGTGCTGGGGTAAACTATCTTTCCACTGGAAAATTTACACTGCCCTTCTTGATCAAAGTTAAGAGTCAGATTTTTATTGACAATATGACCAAGTAAAATCACAGTCACAAAAATAATGTAAAAGGGATTACATTTATAGCTTCATAGGTTCTTTGCAAAAGGAAAAGCAGATCCTCTCAGGTGGAACAAATGTTCAACGCAGGCTTCCTGCATCTCCCATAAATAAATCTTCATGGATCTGAGCTTACTGATCAAGTTATCAAACAGAGAGAGACATAAGCCAACATCACCCAGAGACGTTAGAATTAATGAAGAGCAGAAGGAGACCCCCAAGAATGTTGATTTTAGAATCAGGGTTTTAAAGTGTCTACAGAACTAAAAGTTAAGCACTATCCCAAATATTAGGCAAATACGAAAAAGCAAAATAGAGTACTTTTAAAAATGAAAATAAGCGCTAAAATTAAGATCCCAAAAGACTGCTAATTATAACTTACTAAACAGTGACTTGGTGAAATAGGTATTAAACAGAATTCAGTTAAGTGAGAACTACAGAATCTTAATAGAGAGGTTAGAAAAATGCAGATTTAATAGTGAGATATAGTATTATAATAGAAATGCAAACTACACAAGAATGTGAACTGTATTAGAGACATTCACTATTATGAGCTATATAATATACATAATAGATACATGTTTGAACTTTCAGAAGAAGCAGAGAGAAACAGTAGCAAAAACCCATGTTTAATAGCATTTTACATTTTTTCTAGAAATAATTTTAAATCTAAATCTTTAAATTTGGGAACTATTTTAAAAAACAATGTTACCAATAAACAGAGACTAGCAGATTGGTCTGTTGTATTAAACCTACAAATTAAAAGCCAAGAAGAATATTATAAAAGCAGCCAGAGAGAAAAGAAAAAAGGCCCTAACCCAAGACTGACCATTGGAATAAGAGAAATCTGCAAATCACAGGAGTTTAAAGCAGAGGATAGTCGAGTTATAAATAAAGAACACTGAAATAGACGGGGCGGGGTGGCTCACGCCTGTAATCCCAGCGCTTTGGGAGGCCAAGGCAGGTGGATCACCTGAGGTCAGGAGATCGAGACCAGCCTGACCAACATAGTGAAATTCTGTTTCTACTAAAAATACAAAAAATTAGCTGGGCGTGGTGGCGGGTGCCTGTAATCCAAGCTATTTAGGAGGCTGAGGCAGGAGAATTGCTTGAACCCCGGAGGCAGAGATTGCAGTGAGCCGAGATCACGCTATTGCACTCCAGCCTGGGCAACAAAAACAAAACTCCATTCCCCCCAAAAAAGAATATTAAAATAATAGCCATTAATCTAGAACATTAAAATTGCTAGTATATCATTCAAGAAAAATAAAATAAAAACTGTGACATTCGCACCTTCTTCCAAAAATGAACTTCTAAATGTTGTGCTATAGGAAGACTACAAAATCTGAATACACCTATATTCATTAAACAAACAGAATTAGGAGGCAAAAATAAGTTTAAAAATTGGTCCTGACGAATATTTAAGAGAGAAAAGTTGCAATTGGATACAAAATCTGCCAAAGATTAGAGAACAGTGGAACACTCTAAAATTCATGTCATACTAGTTATAACCTTAAAAAACAAACCAAAACAAGATGAGAAGGTAAATGAGACAGGATAGGCTAGGCTGTTTTGCATACATTATTTCAATACATTCTCAGAGCTACCCTATGAGATAAGTACAGAATAATTATTTACTGTTACAGATAAAGAAATTCAATCCAGAAATGTGAAGTTACTTGTCCCATGCTACGCAAAGCAGAGACAGGACGTTAACGTAGTTTTATTTAAGAGACTGCAATTACTAATGTGAGACGAATATCCTGTTTCCACTCCTTTTTAATTATGTAATCTTGGGCAAGTAATTTAACCTTCCCAAGCTTCAATTTCTTCCTCTATAAAAGGAAGTATGTATACTAACAAAAGAAGTTTTCATAATTATTAAGTGTAAGTAGTTTTGAGGATTATATGCGATAAAGGAGGAGATTTAAATCCATATAAAATCTGTAAGCCAGCATCTAGTGGAAAAATATTAAATACCATTTATTAATAAATTATTAATGTATGAATTTTTATTATTGTGCTCTACTCAATATTGTAAATGTGTGCTTTTTTAAAAAAAACTCAAATATATTTAGGCTAGAATGTTTATCTACAGTGAAAAACGAGACCCTCTAATAACATGAATCTCCAAGATTTCCTGGAGGGGCTATAAACTAAGCCCAAGCTGCCTACCACTCAGCAAGTGCTGGGCAATTTGTGATTATATGAACATACCATAGATCTTATTAACAGTGTCTTTTCAAGGTTTCCTATTTTAAATAATTCTTTCTATATGTGTAAAATTACAATTGTTGTCTTTTACAAGATGGTCTGAGAGTAAAGGGGGACTTTTAAAGATATGGACTGTGAAATTGCCATTACCCTGGGTTTCACTCTGTAATCATTATTTTTCCAATTAGATAAATTTCACACATGACTACAGAAATAATGATGTGAAAATAATTTTTTTCCTATTTCAAGAATTTCGAGTGTTTTTGGGAGGAGGTTATATAATGAAGAAGATAGTAGCTCTAAAATAATATATTGGCATACTGGAATCTTAAGCTTCATTTCTGCAAATCACATACTTTATTCCTTTGATTGAAGAATAGGCCTAAGTTCATAGAACATAACAGGGAGAAAAATAAGCCTTATTTTTAAAAATTCAGTTTATGTAAACTGCCTCCACGTAGGAAAAGATGTGATAATTTTAAAAACATCTACCTAACAGATAATTAATATTGTACAAATAATTGAAAACAATATTAGTATTTTGTGGATATTTTAAAATTTTAATTGTACTCATATTGCGTTCTTAATAATTCTGATGACTTTTTCTAAACTATGTCTAACTCAACTGATTTGCTGGACCTGATACTCTGGGCTAATGTCCTTGACCACCTTTTCAATGAAGGATAGGTTCTAGAGAATACAATCTAAATCATGGCAATATGCAGGATTAGGGCTTTAACAAAATAAATCCACATCAGCACGATCCTGCCTCATCTCATTCATGCTTTGCCTGCTCTTCATTATCCCAACTCTGCTGCCATGGTAATTATTTATGCTGTGAATTATTGTCATACTGTTAAATATAGCTTTGAAAATGACAAGACCAATCTTTTTTATTTATTGTCAACCAATCACCCTGCCTAGAATCAACAAAAGTAAATCATATTTCTGTTAAGCATTTACTGAAAACATTGCATATTATCACTTAACTTCTTGGAGGAGCAGAGCCAAGTGGGAAGCTAAACAATGGGAATGAAATGGCTCGGATTCTCCTGTCTCAAACACCCTTTACAATAGGTATGAAATGGCCTAAAACTGACACTTTATGATTCCATAATAAGAAACAAGAAATAAATTTCTGATCGTCATCCCTATACCTGCCTCTCCCTCAGATTCTCCCATCTCACTTTTTCTTTTACTGCACAAAGGAGTTCTTTCTTCAAATCTATCCCACCTCTGACCTCTTCTCTTCATGTGCACTGCTAATATTCTGGAGCAAAACGCTGTTGTGTCTACTCAGATTCTTGCAATAACCCCATAACACATCCCTCTTCTTCTGCTTTGGCCACCAATCCATCTATTCTCAATTTGGTAAGCACAGTGACCACATGGAAAACCAAATCCTTCTGTCTGAAAACCCTCCAAAGGTTTTCTAGTTCTAGAATTTATCTAAAGTCAGCCTAAAAGTTCACCAGGCCTTACAGGACCTGGTGCCTGCCCTCCAAAACCTCTCTGGACCCATTTCCTACAATTCACTCTTGTTTGCTCTGGCCCAGCTATATCAGCCCTCTTTCTGTCACTGAAAAAATGCACATGCTGATGAACAGAAGAGAACACTGTTGGTGGGAATGTAAATTAGTACAACCCCTATGGAAAATAGTATGGAAATTTCTCAAAGAACTAAAAATAGAACTACCATATGATCCAGCAATCCCACTACTGGGTATCTACCCAAAAGAAAATAAATCATTATAGCAAAAAGATACCTCCATTTGTATGTTTATTGCAGCACTATTCACAATAACAAATATTTGGAATCGACTTGTGTCCACCAATGGAAGATTGCATAAAGAAAGTGTGATATACACACACACACAGACACACACACAAAAGAATAGTAATCACCATGAAGAAGAATGAAATCATGGCTTTTGCAACAACATGGGTAGAACTGGAGGTCATTGTCTTATGGGAAACAACTCAAACACAGAAAGACAACTACAGTGTATTCTCACTCATAAGTCTAATTAAATAGTGTGTAAATATGGAAGCAGAGTATAGAATGTTGGACAATGGGGACTTGGAAGGGTGGGGAGGTGGGACAGGGTGGATGATAGGAGGTTGTTTGGTGGGTACAGTGTGCATTGTTCTAGTGATGGATGAACTGAAGGCCCTGACTTCACCATAATCCAATATAACAAATGCAATATAATCAATGTAGCAAAATTGCACTTCTACCTCATGAATATAAACAAAAAATACTAATGCACTTGCTTTTACTTCACTGGGTATTCCTCTTCCTTCAAGATACCAACATGGGTTTCTATCGTCCTTTACTTCCTTACACGTATTATTCCTTCCTTTGAAGTCTTCTTCACTGCACTCTTACAGATTTCTTAAAAAACAACACACACACACTCCTCACATTCTCTCTTTCCCTCTCTCTAGCCCCTTCATGCTTGATTTTTCTCATTGTGGTTATCATCATTGAACTTACTGTAATTGTACTTACTGATTTTTCATTAAAGTCTGTTCTCCCTATTTTCACAACTAAAGGTAAGCCACATAATATCAGGGATTCTTGCCTGTTTTATTCACTGGTGGACTTCCAGTACCTGGAATATTGCCAAACACATGTTAACCACTCATTATATGTTGAATGAATGCATGAATGTGAATGCGTGACTGAAAAATTGAGAACCTTCCCCAGCAACACTCAAATCAGTCATCTGTGTCACTTTCCTTTATGAAACATATAAACATATCTACGTCTGGACCCATCCTCTCCTCCTGTGCCTTGCTATAACTTTTCAGCCAATTCCTGTACACTTGCTATGCCCATAATGAGTATTTGCTTACCTAAAAAGGAACTTTAAGCTTTTAACTTCTGAACATTTTCTCATTTATTAAACTTCTTTTAGTTCTCTTCTCCCCCTTACCCAGCTGGGATTACATTACTCTATTTTACTAAACCTTCTTTCAGTAACCTAACCTCCCTGCCTCTCACTCTTTTTATTGTATCCATCTAGCAAAACAGAAACCTAGATGAACTAATTCTACCAGAGACTTCCTCCATGCTTAATCTGGGCTGCATTGGATAATTCAAGTGCTCAATCTTATTGGCAGTCCTATTACATGAGTCAGGTCAATTCTGATCAGCTCTGCACTAGACATTTCTGTTTGCATGTCTTAAAACACAAACATGTAAATGATAGCACAGCAAACATTCAGGGAAGACAAGATATTTCTAATGAAGGCCAGTAATGGATTCAAAATGAATTAAAAACAACAATTGAGCAGAGTCCAAATCTACCTTAGAGACATCTAGGATAATAAAATTTTTAGGTGTCCCCTGTATGGTTTCTTTCATACTTCTGTGACACCTTAATTAGCCATGGAACTAAAATTTCACGACTAACGTTCTTTAACTATTAAAACAAAGAAAGAGAAACTGATTAAAATGAAAATCAAACAAATACACTTGTGACATAGCCTATACTGCAATATTGATTAATATAAAACTAGTTTATTATCATTAAATCAAAAAATTTGAAGAATGCATGTTCATTCAGTTCCTAGGAAATAACATATTTTAAATATTTCTCCAGCTGAAGCTGATTTTTTCTTCCCCTGTAGATCTTTTCTGTTTAATAACTCACCAATCTTCCTCAGTGCCAGATCTTAGAGACTTAACCCTCAAACAGAGGCAATCTCATATAAATTAAAGGCCAAGCACACACTGCACTCCAATTGTGTGTTACATCCCTCAGGCACCTATGGGTTTATTTCTCAAATCCACTGCCCATTTTGTTTTTATTGTCACATCCCATAACATAAAACATATCTAATCAATAAAATCAGAAAAATATAATACATAAAATGTTTCATTACTATTTGGCAAATGGAAATTTAAAAATGAAATATATAAAAAACAAAAACAAATAAAAATACAAGAAATAGGAACACTTTTACACTGTTGGTGGGACTGTAAACTAGTTCAACCATTGTGGAAGTCAGTGTGGCGATTCCTCAGGGATCTAGAACTAGAAATACCATTTGACCCAGCAATCCCATTACTGGGTATATACCCAAAGGACTATAAATCATGCTGCTATAAAGACACATGCACATGTATGTTTATTGCGGCACTATTCACAATAGCAAAGACTTGGAACCAACCCAAATGTCCAACAACGATAGACTGGATTAAGAAAATGTGGCACATATACACCATGGAATACTATGTAGCCATAAAAAAAAGATGAGTTCATGTCCTTTGTAGGGACATGGATGAAATTGGAAATCATCATTCTCAGTAAACTATCTCAAGAACAAAAAACCAAACACTGCAAATTCTCACTCATAGGTGGGAACTGAACATTGGGAACACATGGACATAGGAGGGGGAACATCACACTCTGGGGACTGTTGTGGGGTGGGGGGAGGGAGGAGGGATAGCATTGGGAGATATACCTAATGCTAGATGACGAGTTAGTGGGTGCAGCGCACCAGCATGTCACATGCATACATACGTAACTAACCTGCACATTGTGCACATGTACCCTAAAACTTAAAGTATAATAATAAAAAAAAATACGAATTTAGAGTTGCATGAAATATTAGTAATTATATAACAAAATCTGTTTAATACAACTGGATTAATACCAAATATCAATTGATAAAATAAGTAATAGAATAAACACCTGTTGGTGCTCCAAACTTAGTTGAATCAGAGTTTTCTAAAAAATATTAAAATAGCTTGGGCTTCTGGAGATATGGCTACCAGATTAACAGCTTGATCAAACCTATAGAATAAGTTGGGAGTGAGATCTAATTAGCCTCACATTGCATTTGAATTTTTTAAATTATATTTTTAAAAACTTCTTAACGTAAATAGTAGAATGCTATCTTCATTTACTTGGGCCCCTATAATAAAGCACCATAGTCTAGGTAGCTTAAAAACAACAGGAATTTAATTCTCACAGTTTGGAGGCATTAGACAGTCCAAGAGCAAGTTTCCGGCAGATTTTGTGTCTAGCGGGTGCCCACTTTCTGGCTTGTAGTTAGCCTTCCTTTGGCTATAGCCTCACATAACAGGAGGGGAGAAGGAATTTTCTAGAACCTCTTCCTTAAAGACATTAATCCCATTCATAAGGGCTTCATTCTCATGACATAATCATCTCTCAAAAGTTCCGCCTCCTAATAATATCACCTTGGGGAACAGGATTTCAATATATGAATTTGGGAGGACATAAATATTCAGTCCACTGCAATTACATTTTTTCTGGTAATTGTGTATTTTTTTAAATGAGGCGAAATTCATCCAAATAAAGACAAAGTTTCTATTTTTCTTACTAAAAATATAGAGAAGCATTATTTCCTTAGCCAATTGAAAGAACATTGATTGTATTATACATAAGCATCAAAAAAATTCATTTACATTAAACATATACCTGTATGAAAATAACAGAAAACATAATATTTGTGTTCTTTTTATTGATAATCCTATGGAATTTGCTTATATATGTATATTTTTATTATACATAGTGATTTTTCCTTACTCTGGCACTAGTCTAGTATTAATAAAAGACAAGTTTGTTATCTATTTAGTATATTCTTGTCTCTGAGCTGATCAAGATAAGAAATTATTTTTGGGGCCAGTGCAGTGGTGCAGGCCTGTATTCCTAGCACCTTGGGAGACTGAGGTGGTAAGATTGCTTGAGCGCAGGAATTTGAGACCAGCCTGGCCAACATGGTGACATGGTGAAACCCTGTTTCTATAAAAAAATACAAAAATTAGCCCAGTGCGTTGGTGCACGCCTGTAGTCCCTACTACTTCAGAGGCTGAAGTGGGAGGATCCCTTGATCCTGGGAGGTAGACGTTGCAGCGTGAGCCAAGATCATGCCACTGCACTCCAGCCTGGGCGATACAGCCAGATTTTGTCTCAAGAAAAGGAAGAAAGAAATTCTTCTCAGGTTTAATTTCAAAATAACTATTTTTAGAAAAGTTTTATTTGAATTTAGCTACTTTAAGAAATATTGTGGCTTTCCCACCTATAAAATATTCCCATAAGTTTGAGTCTATATGTCCTTCTATAGAATTATGTCACTTATATTAAATGCAATTCTTTTTAGTGCCTTAGTGTCTTCAAGTGACAGATCTGTCAGAAGCTCAAACCTAAAACACAGACTGAAAACATAATAAGTTTTACTGTCCTATGCCTGTTCTGTAAGTTTCCTCATGTTTCTTGCAATAATCATAATAAAATGATAATGTGTAATATAATGAATTCCTGCTCTAAGAAGTAAAAAAATAACACATTTCTTGCAGAGTGGTCTCATGCTAAGCATGAAAACTGACAACAGCAAGGTACTTAAAACCATCAAGCCTGATAGAGTCCTGATGTGGTCAGCTGGGCCACCTGGCAGCCAGGCCTTACATGCTGTAACCACAAGGCTTGAACTCCAGCCTCCTGTTCACACAATGGGAGGGGCTGTGTTCCTGAACCACGGCAATGGCGGGACAGCAGATTAGGCCACTGATTTGTCTTGTACATCTGCAAAAAAGAGTCCTGATCAATCCAGAGAATGGTATCACATGCTTCTTCCCATGAAGGATAAACTAGCAAAGTTGGGCCGGAGCCAAGTATTTGCCACAGTATAATGTGGTTGAATCCCAGGCCCTGACAATCTCAGGGGCAGGCCTGGGCCTCTTTCAGTCTCATAGCTCAGGAAGTCCTTCCTCCTTCTCCCAGGGCCTACTGTCTGACCCTGCTGGGTCCCTGTCGTCTGAGTCAGAGTAAAATATGTAATAGGAGATCCAAATACCTACTTTTTATCCTGCTTCCCTGTTGCCTTAGTAAACCTGTTGCCAGCAAGCCTGATGTGTGTGTTGTCAAATAAATTATATTTTTAGTTATTAAGTGACAAGACAATAAGAAGCCTTTTCTAGCTTCAGAGGAGAAGTTAGGCATCACTCAGAGATCCTGAGCTTTAAGTTGAGTGTGGTGACTGGATAGGACTTGGGTTGTGTCTCTGAATAAGGGTAAAAATGTGTTCTATGTGTGGGAATTAGAATGCACAAAGATTTTCTCCTTTTATATTAAGCAGAGTAGTAGTTGGGAGGTGGCTGCCCACACAGGAGCTGTACATCCATGCCCCCTTGTAGCTAGATGTAGTCATAGCACTGATTCCTCTCAAAGGAATGAGAGCAAAAGGAATGTGTGCTGTTCCAAGGCAAAGGGTTTAAGATGCAAGAATGGAGTGCCTGCCCGAGGTGGGTTTTTTTTTTTCTACTTTACCACTTGGAAACACTCAATAAGGAAGCCCTAGGAAATTATGGAATCATGTAAATGAAGAAGCCTGGGCTGCTGTAAGCTTGCATGGAAAAGAACTGTCTCTGAAGATGAAAAATCTCTTAGAACTGTTACGTAAGACACAGATGTCTGTGGTCCCTTACATATTTGAGTCTATTTATTTTTACAGCCTGAATTCAAGTTTAACTGAAAGAAGTCTGCTTGTTATTTTATTTTATTTATTTATTTTGAGACAGGGTCTCACTCTGTCGCCCAGGCTGAGTGCAGTGGCACAATCACAGCTCACTGCAGCCTCGAACTCCCGGCTCAAGCAATCCTCCCACCTCAGCCTTCTGAGTAGCTGGGACTACAGGCACACCATCATGCTCAGCTAATTTTTTATTTCTTATACAGTGTAGGGGGCACACTATGTTGCCTGGCTGGTCTCAAACTCCTAGACTCCAGCAGTCGTCCCTCCTCAGCCTCCCAAAGTGCTGGGATAATACGTGTGATCCAACATGCCTGGCTTACATATTTTATTAAGTGGACAGACTTGGTACTATTTATTAGTATTCATTGGATGATCACATGATCCAAATTCATAAATATCAGGAGAGCAGTTATAATTGGGTAAAGTGAGGAAACACATGGCATATCCCAATAATATAGATCATAGAAAAAATGAAAAGAGGGTTAGTGTTACTGCAAAGAGGAGAGTAATTCTAGAAAGGTAGTTCCTATTCACTGATATTCTGATTTTCCAAAACATTAGTTAGTAACAATGTCTAATGATGAGATAATCTAACTAATTTCAATATTAGGTGTACTTTAATATATGTGCCATTATAAGTCACCAGCTCATTAGTTCTAATATGTTAGAACTTAAAGTCTTCAATTAGACTGCACTGCAATCTAGGACAGCTAATAGATTCCTCTCTCTCTCTCTCTCTCTCTCTCTGTCTCTCTCCCCCTCACTCCCTCCCTTTCTCTTTTATAATAAATAATTTTCCTGATTGGCCATTCAGTTGAGTATGTGAGTCCCATTTGCACCAATTAACACATCCACCAGTTTGGAGCTCCCACCCATTTAAATGGTCTGATATTCTCCCAGGATTCCTCTCTCTATGTGGTTCCTCCAGCAGCCTTTGCGCTAGGTCATAATCTGTCATCACCACTGGGCCTAGCTCTGCATCCTCTCCAGGCTGTTCTCCTTTTGCCCCCTTAATGGAAGTTCCCCTGCAGCTCCCTTGTGGCGGCCGGAGAAAGGAATTCAATTCTGGAATTCCATCAATATCTAATTCTTTTTTCCTTTTCTCACATCTTTTCTCAAGTTCCCAAAAGTTCAGCTATGGCTCAGAAACCCATAGTCAGTCATCAGCAAAATGTCCTATATTTCTACCCCTGTGTCATTGCTTACGTCTCCCAGAATTTCATTCTTCCCTGCAGCCGTGGATGTCTACTGCTACCAGTGACACGTGTGCAACCAATCATGTCCAGGGCTCTCACCTTCACTAACCAGCATAAAAATGTCTAATAATTCTCTCTATCCACACTTGCAGAAGGAATTCTCAAAATAGAGGTTATAAACTGATCTTGCATCACAGTGTTTTTTTTTTTTCCCAAAAACTCTCCCTTCTATTATCTAAAATGGGTGAGGAAAGGAGAAAAGTTGGGTTAAAAGATACTTGGAGGTAGTTTCCCATTGTGTATATGACCACGGATAGCAGCCAAGATGGATGTTCAGGCAGTCTCGTTCCCACATACATTTTCACGTGTGATAATTTAGTTTCAAATTTCTCATTTTTCTTACCCCCAGCTTGAACCCTTTTGAAAAAACCTTAGTACATCAGATAATATGTACGTATTTGATTACCAGGTATCACAGAGCAAGATGTCACAATGTCCGCTATCAAGTTCTCTGCCTCAGAGCTGAAAGCAGGATAGAAAGGAAGCTACAGAAATCTGTGCGCCACAGATAGTTTTCCCTTAGATCCACTCAGCTTTCAGCAAACTGGAGAATCACAGACCCAAAGACTACTCCAAGGAGTGAGGGATTTCCCCTCAGACAGTTTTCACATTACCCTTTACAGGGGTGCATATGGAGCTCAGTAGATCTGCATGAGTTTCAAAATACAACCTCCACTCTCTGGACAACCCACTCTTAGAGCTTAGGCATCACTATATGCCTGAAACCTGCAGAACTGATGCCATTATATCCTTTGTCCTATTTTAAATCTGCCCACTTCAGAGATCCTAGGACCAACGACTATCCATTTATTCTGGAATTCTCTCAACATCTAATTATTTTTTCCTTTTCTCACTTCTCTTCTCAAGTTCCCAAAACTTCAATTATGGCTCAGAAACCCATAGTCAGTCATCAGCAAAATGTCCTATATTTCTACCCCTTCTCTAACTTTACTTTCCTTTTATTGAAGCCTAATTCCCTAAGGACCACTTCCCTGCACTGCTGGAAGTAGCATCGGTCTTCTCTCCCATGGCCTTCATAACTGGGCCTGGAGGTAGAATTTTGATATTCTAGTTCTTCATCATTTTCCAAGATCATCACATTCATGCCAACAGATTATACCATGCACTGCATCTCTGTGTCTCACTCTTCTGCAAAACCACTGTGTCTCCCACTCATTTCCTGAAGATTCTAACTCCTGGAGTTAGAATCACTATCTTCATAGTTCATGTCATAATTAATGATGATTTCTGTATCCATTTAGTGTATTTTTCCAAAATCCTGCATTCACAGTTTTTGCCCTTACATCTACTGATGACCTTGTTCTCCACCCTGTTTGTCTCTCACTCCATGACCATGTGTCTCGTCATTGTTAATCAGTCCAAGTCTTCTTATTATATCAACTTCGAGCATCCCAATTTTCAACCACCACCACTTACCTTTTTAGTTCATTCCCTGTAATACACTGATTCCAACCATTCTTCAACCTCCAAAATAACTACATGCATCTTACTGCCATTTTCTGTGCATTATCATTCCCTTATCATCCTCTTATCATCCTCTTATTCTTACTTCTGGTCTAAAGGCTTGGATTTTATGGTACATCATTATTTTCATGTCTTGCACTATTCTTTATTTTTGTTACCTCTCTTTTTCTTGTTTCATTTTATACGCTTTTAGCATAATTCCAGTGCTGATTAAATTCACTTCTCCACCTACTCTGGGCTTGTCACCGTGAAGCTACATGGACTACATCATTTTTTGATAGACCTCAGTGTAAACTCATGACCACAAACCTCAAAGGGAAATTATTCCACAGTTTGATAGACAATTTAGCCTTTTCTCTTACAGATAATTTTTTATACTCTCTCTCTCCTCAAATTCAAATACCACATGCCATCTTCCCTCCCAATTGATCTATTTTATGTATAAAATGAAAGAAATCTGAAAGAACTTCTAAAAGCTACTTTATTACTTTTTCTCAGCTGTGATGGTTCACGTTATGTGTTGACTTGACTGGGGCCACAGAGTGCCCAGACATTTGGCCGAAAATCTTTCTGTGTTTCTGTGAGACTGCGTCTGGATGACATTAACACTTTATGGGTAAACTGAGTATAGTAGATTGCCTTCCCTTATGTGGGTGGACCTTACTCAGTCAATTCAAGGCCTGAACAGAAGAGACAGGCTGAGTAAGCAGAAACTCCTTGCATCTGACCATTGGTGCTGGGACATCAGTCTTTTCTTGACTTCAGACTTGAAATAAGAAACTGGCTTTTCCTGAGTCTTGAGCCTGTGGGCTTTCAGACTAGCACTCCCACCTTTGGTTCTCCTGGTTTGCCAGCTTACTGACTCTGGATCTTGGGACCTCCCAGTCTCTATATTTGCATGAGTAAATTTTTTATCATAAATCTTTCATGTAGGGCATCATAAAAGATGGTATCATTGTCTTACTTACCAACCACCCAAACCTTCTCATCCCAAAGTTTAGTGTAGTGTTGATGAGGAGCTTCTAGTGAATTACTCACAGAGATTGATAACCCTGCCAAAAATTAACGTGCTCTGGCATTGCAAAGGAATGTAGTCCCTGCAAAACCAAGGCAGGGATGGAATAGGAGAAATAAGAACCCCACATCTCTGTCCTTACAGTATCATCTCCAGCACCTTCCATTAACCAAGCCCAGCCAGAAGCCTGAGGGCAGGAAGCACCTGGAGTCCCTAGGGCCAGCCTCCCAGGACACAAAGCCAGGCAGATAAGCCAAGACGAAAACAGGAGCACAAGCAAAACCAAGCAAGCACGCACATCCTAAATATACACATTTGGTATACTCATAAAAAAAGCACACGTTCATTTCTATTCAATTAAAATGCCATCTAAATCTTTCTCTTAATTTATTTTTCACCATGACAAAGCACTTTTAGTTCTATAATAAGTAAACTGGTAAGTATTGAACATACCTATTTTGTTCTTTAGTATTATTTCAATCTTGAAAGTGAAATTTTTATTATATTCTTATAGATAAAATAGCTAATTTTCAAAAATGAGCAAAGTTTATAGATTGATCATCTGTGCATAAATCTTTGGCTTCTTTACATAGTTACATTAAAGTAATTAATTCAATACTTATGTTGGCATTCATCAGATACAATCCTGATTTTTATATACACACATATGTATGTGTATATATATATATATATATACACACACACACATTTTAATATATATGTATATATAATGATTTAAAATTAGTTCCTCAAAACTATGCAAGAATCATATTTTACCTAATATGGTTGAAAGTACAATATAATTGCCTTGATAATTATGATATGATTTCCTCAAGATTTGTGGGGAGAGAACTTTAAATTTTAAACACTTACATATAAAAATAGGAATTCTCTTAAAATTCATACTTTAATTTTTTTATTTTACTTTTCAAGTCAAAACATAAAAATAAGTGTATTTAAGATTTATTTCTATATATTTGAAAATCAGGTGTGCTTACCTTAAAAATTACTACAATGTAATTTGTAAGATAATTTGTTTTGCCTCCCAAATGTTATGAAAGCATGTTATTAATTTAAATACCATGGGTTAAAACCTGTTACAGAATATGAAAACATTTCACACTTCTTCTAAAGCATAATTTAAAAAATACAATTGTGGAATTCTCTCTCATTTTGATTACCTAGAAGATACTATTGTGATATTGTGGGTGCTAGCATAGAGCTATATTGTTTCTCTCTAGTTAGATGGCTAGGGCCAATGTGATACTTAAAAAACTGTTCTAAAACAAGAATAACGATGTTACAAAATTATCGGCAGTACTATGTTAGCAATCTCTTTTGAGCACTTGTGAATATATTTCCAGGAAATTCTAGCAACATCTTCCATGTGTATAATTGCACAGACTCAGATTTAACTTTTTAAATGATCTAATAAAGCAGTCAAAATTTTAGATTTCTTGAAGAAATAGAAGAAAATATTTTTGTGTTTCTGTCATAATTATGCTGTTATTGTTTAAACATTCCTTACAGTGAATAGACTAATGTCTTGAAACTATTATATGGCAATAGTCACATTGGCTTTTTTCCAACTTCTCTATTTTATTTATGTCTAACCATTTTACTTTTCCATCTTGAGTACTTTCTTTTATTATTGTAAATTAACAAATTATGGTTGTATATATTTATGGAGTACAAAGTGATGTTATGATTAATACAATGTAGAAAATTTAATCAAGCTATATAACATATCATTACCTCAAATACTTATTTCATGTAGTGAAGACATTTGGAATTTACTCTTCATGATTTTGGAATGTACCATACACTGTTATTAACTATAGTCACCACATTGGGCAATAGATAAAAAAAAAACCCATTATTTCCCCCAAGGCTTTAAACCCTTTCACTGTCATCTCCCCATTCTCCCCATTTCCTAGCCTCTGATAATCACCATCCTTTGTGTTATGACTTTGACTGTTTAAATTCCAAACAGGAGTGGGAACATGTGGTATTTATCTTTATATTCCTAGCTTATTTCACATAGCATAATGTTCTCCAATTCCATCCATGTTCAAATCACAGAATTTATTCCTTTCATAAGGCTGAATATATTCCCTTGTGTATATGTACCATATTTTTAATGCATTCATCTGTTGATAGACACTTTGCTTGATTCCATATTTTGGCTGTTATGAACAGTTCTGCAAAGAACACTGGAGTGCAAACATTTCTTTGACATACTGATTTCAAATCTTTTGGGTAAAGACTTGGAAGTGAGGTTGCTAGATCATATGGTAACTATATTTTTACTTTTTTCACAAACCTCCCTGTTGTTTTTCATAAAGGCTGTAACTTACATTCTCACCAACAGTGTACAAGGATTCCCTTTTCCCCATATACTTCCCAACATTTATGTTTTTTATATATATAATAGCCATTCTAACAGAAGAGACAAGCTCTGGTTTAATTTTCATTTCCCTAATGATTAGTGATGTTGAGCATTTTTTCATCTAGCTGTTGCCTATTTGTATGTCTTCTTTTAAGAAGTATCTATTTCAGCTCGCTTACTCATTTTAAAATCAGATTGTTTTCTTTCTATATAGTCATTTGGGTTTTTTATGCATTTTGAATATTAACCTTTTATCAAATGTATAGCTTGCAAATATTTTCTACCAATCTATATGTTATATCTTCACTTTTATTTGTTTCATTTGTTGTGTAGAAGCCTTTTTTCTTGATACATTTGTCTGTTTTTGCTTTTGTTGTCTATGTTCTTGGAGTCCAATCTTAATAATTATTGCCCATCCCAATGTCATAGAGATTTTCCCCTAAGTTTTATTTTGTAGGTTTATAGTTCCAAGTCTTTTGTTTAAGTTCTTAATCCATTTTGGGTAAATTTTTGTACATGATGTGAGATAAGGGTCCAATTTTATTCTTCTGCATATGGATATCCAGTTTTCCCAACATAATTTATTGAAAATACAGCCTATTTCCCATTGTGTATTCTGGACACCTTTGTCAAAAATCAATTGACTGTACATGTGTGGGTTCATTTCTGGACTCCCCATTTTGTTTCATTGACTGATGTGTCTGTTTTATGCCAGTACCATGCTGTTTAATTACTATCAGTTTGTGATATAGTTTGAAAGCAGGAATTTTGAGGCCTCCAGCTTTGGGTTTTTTGGTCATGATTGCCTTGGTTATTGTGGTTCTTTTGTGGTTCCATATGAATTCCAAGATCATTTTTTTCCATTTTTCTGAAATATGGCATTGGAATTTTGATAAGGATTGCATTGAAGTAGATCACTTCAAACAGTATGGACATTTTAACAATATTTTTTCTTTCAATCCATGATATCTTCTTCAACTTATTTCATTAATGTTTTATAGGTTTCAGGGTACAGGTATTCCACTACTTTGGTTAAATTTATTTTTAAGAGGTTTTCTATCTTTTTGTAGCTGTTGTAAATGGGATTGCTTTCTTGATTTCTTTCTCAGAACGTGTGTTGTTAGTGTATAGAAACGCTATGGAATTTTCTTGTTAATGTATCCTGCAACTTTTCTGTATTTGTTTATTAGTTCTAACAGGTTTTTGGCAAATTCTTTAAGGTTTTTTATGTATAAGATCATGTCTCTAGCAAACAGGGACATTTTCACTTCTTTCTTTCCTATTTGGGTGCTTTTTACTTCTTTCTCTTGCCTACTTGCTCTGGCTAGGATTTCCATTACTATGTTGAATAGAAGTGATAAAGAGTGGTTACTCTTATCTTGTTCTGGATCTTAGAGAAAAGAGCTTCAATTTTTTCACCATTGACTATAATGTGAGCTGTGAGTTTATCATAGACGGCCTTTATTGTGTTGAGGTGCATTCCTTCTATACCTAATTTGTTGAGAGGGTTTTTTTTAATCATTAAAACGTATTTGAATTTTGTCAGATAAATTTTCTGTGATATGACCATACTTTTTTTGTTCTTCATTCTATTGTTACAAGGTATCACATTTATTGAGTTGTATGTATTGAACCACCCCAGAATCCCAGGGTTAAACCCACTTGATAATGGTGAATGATCCTTTTCAAGTGCTGTTGAACTCACTTTTCTAGTATTTTGCTGAGGATTTTTGCATCTATTTTCATCAAAGAAATTAGCCTAAAGTTTCCCTTTCTTGTGATATCCTTGTCTACATTTGGTAAAACGATGTTACTAGTCTCATAAAAAGAGTCTGGAAGTATTCTCTCATTTTCAGTTTTTCAGAAGAGCTTATAAGGATTATGCTAGTTTGAATGACATTTGCCCCACTAAAACTAATATTAAAATTTAATCCCCAGTGTGGCAGTTTTGGGGAGTGGAGCCTAGTAAAAGGTGTTTGGGTCATGGGTTACATCTCTCATGAATAAATTAAGATTAAGACCCTCCCACAGGGGTTAGTGTGTTCTTCCTCTTGTGAGGATGGATTAATTATCACTGGCATGGGTTGTTATAAATAATCTGGTTTCTCTGGTTTCTCTCTCTTGCTTCCTCTCTCACGATATCATCTCTCGGCACACATGTGCTCCCCTTCCACTTCTCACCATGAGTTGAAGCAATGTGAGGTCCTCTCCAGATGCAGCTGCCCAATTTTGAACCTTGCAGTCACCAGAATTGTTAGCAAAATACACTTACTTTCTTTATAAATTACCCAACCTCAGTCTGTTATAACAACACTAAATAGACTAAGGGATTATTTGTTATTTAAATGCTAGATTATTAGATCTTTAAATGGTAGACTTCAGCAGTGAAGTCATCAGGTCCTGGGCCTTTCTTTGATGATAGACTTTGTTTATTATTGATTCAATCTTCTTACTAGTGATTGATCTATTCAAACTTTATATTTCTTCATGGTTCAGTCTTGGTAGACTGTATGTGTCTTAGAATTTGTCCATTTCTTCTAGGTTACCCAACTTCTTGGCATATAATTGTTCATCTCACTCTATTCTCTCCTCTCCTAAAAGCTGATAACTTTCATGGCATTAAACACACACACACACACACACACACACACACACAATTTCAAAGAAACTGATTTTTAAAGCATAGAAAAAATGTGTTGAGATTACATTTGTTATAAGTTAAAGTTAAAGTTATCTTAGAAGTATATATATATACACACATATATATATGTTAATCATTAACAACACTTCAAAGAGATGACAGTGATAGTAACATGCCCTTGAATTTCGTTAAGGTATATCTTAGATTTAACCAAGACACACTAGTTTACAGGAGCTGGAAAATATATTCTAAAGTGTCTTTTGGAAGATTCGTAGAAAATACTGAAAATGCAAAATGGGATAATGTACATAATTTTCTTATTTTTCAGAAGTTAAAGGGAAAAGACATTTCCTTGATCAAAATGAAAGGTGAAAGTAAAAGTGAAACACACGAGCTAGGCAGAGATGGAGTACAAAGCATTTTGAATTTAGAATTTGTTTTGTATGAAGAATTTTTTAAGAGATGCTCAAATAATTAAGTTTCCAGAGACAACATCTTTTTCCATGAAGTTATTAAGGCTATGAAAAGACCTGTAAATTTTCTCTTTTGCATTTAAGATTACTGGGTTTTATAAAATTTTGATGTCTGCTAGATGATTTATATGGCTGGAAAGCAGACAACAGAAAATATATATTTTTTAAACAGAATAACTCACTTTTTATTTACTTAAAAACTTATAAAAAGTTAACTGAAATATTGACTGATTTGTCTAGGCATTTCATTAAACTTGTTAGGTCTATTGGGATACATATCAACCCAGCATATAACTAAATAAAGAAGTGGTTATATGTGTCAGTAAATACAATTAAACAAATTAATTAATGTAGACAATTCAATTTTATTTCAATGAAAAATAAGTAAAACAATTCTTTTTGGAATTTAAGCAAGAAATAAGGACTTGATGCAGCATATTTAATAGATTTAGGATTGACTTTGGTTATTTCTGAACTTTCTAATATTTCAGGAACTAAGAGCTGACTGTCAAAATTGTTAATTTAGAATACTTGTACTTTAAATGTGAGTATAATATAATTTACAATTATACCCAATACATTATTTGCCATGTGTAAATCAAGTAATCAAGAGTTTCATATATTCTTATTTTTTTTTCAAAAAGCAATTACAAGAATAGAAGAAAGGTGATGTGATTATAATATACTAATGACAGAATTTAGTCTCTTAGCTGATGTTTCATATGCTTCAAAGTATGAGTGCCACAACCATATAATAACAGGGAAAAACAACTCATGATTTACATTTCTTCATGAACAAAACCTTAAAATGAATATCACCTTAAGGTCAGGAGTTCAAGACCAGCCTGGTTAACATGGTGAAACCACACCTCTACTAAAAATACAAAAAGTAGCTGGGTATTTAAGTGCATGCCTGTAATCCCAGCTACTCTGGAGGCCGAGGCAGAAGAATTGCTTGAACTGGGAGGTGGAGTTTGCAGTGAGCCAAGATTGCACCACTGCATAACAACCTGGGTGACAGAGTGACACTCCACCTCAAAAAAAAAAAAAAAAAAAGAATATTACCTCAATTATGGAAGTACTTTTAACTCAATCTTCAAAGCATATATAAAATGTTGAGATTATATAGTCTTAAGTTAGAGGAAAAGTGGTACAGATTAAATATATATTTACCATCAAATAAATATCTTTATTATTCTCTTGTTTTTATTGGCTTATTGTAAATTTCTCTCTTTATTTTCCATATGCATAATCTACCTGGGTCAGGAAAAAAGATATAATAAATAAATAGGAGATACACACACACTCAAAACTGTGTTTTCATTCTTGAATATGAAAAGATAATTAAAAACATCCTTATTGAAAAATAAAAAGAGAGGGCAGCCAAGATGGCTGAATAGGAACAGCTCCAGTCTACAGCTCCCAGCTTGAGCGACGCAGAAGATGGGTGATTTCTGCATTTCCATCTGAGGTACCGGGTTCATCTCACTAGGGAGTGCCAGACAGTGGGTGCAGGACAGTGGGTGCAGCACACCGTGCATGAGCCGAAGCAGGGCGAGGCATTGCCTCACTCAGGAAGTGCAAGGGGTCAGGGAGTTCCCTTTCCTAGTCAAAGAAAGGGGTGACAGACAGCACCTGGAAAATCAGGTCACTCCCACCCTAATACTGCACTTTTCTGACGGGCTTAAAAAACGGCGCACCAGGAGATTATATCCCGCACATGGCTCGGAGGGTCCTATGCCCACGGAGTCTCCCTGATCGCTAGCACAGCAGTCTGAGATCAAACTGCAAGGTGGCAGCGAGGCTGGGGGAGGGGCACCCGCCATTGCCCAGGCTTGCTTAGGTAAACAAAGCAGCCAGGAAGCTCGAACTGGGTGGAGTTCACCACAGCTCAAGGAGGCCTGCCTGCCTCTGTAGGCTCCACCTCTGGGGGCAGGGCACAGACAAACAAAAAGACAGCAGTAACCTCTGCAGACTTAAATGTCCCTGTCTGATAGCTTTGACGAGAGCAGTGGTTCTCCCAACACGCAGCTGGAGATCTGAGAACGGGCAGACTGCCTCCTCAAGTGGGTCCCTGACCCCTGACCCCTGAGCAGCCTAACTGGGAGGCACCACCCAGTAGGGGCAGACTGACACCTCACATGGCCAGGTACTCCTCTGAGACAAAACTTCCAGAGGAACGATCAGACAGCAGCATTCGCGGTTCACAAAAATCCGCTGTTCTGCAGCCACCACTGCTGATACCCAGGCAAACAGGGTCTGGAGTGGACCTATGGCAAACTCCAACTGACCTGCAGCTCAGGGTCCTGTCTGTTAGAAGGAAAACTAACAAACAGAAAGGACATCCACACCAAAAACCCATCTGTACATCACCATCATCAAAGACCAAAAGTAGATAAAACCACAAAGATGGGGAAAAAACGGAGCAGAAAAACTGGAAACTCTAAAAAGCAGAGCAACTCTCCTCCTCCAAAGGAACGCAGTTCCCCACCAGCAATGGAACAAAGCTGGATGGAGAATGAGTATGACGAGTTGAGAGAAGAAGGCTTCAGATGATCAAACTACACCAAGCTACAGGAGGAAATTCAAACGAAAGGCAAAGAAGTTAAAAACTTTGACAAAAATTTAGACGAATGTATAACTAGAATAACCAATACAGAGAAGTGCTTAAATGAGCTGATGGAGCTGAAAGCCAAGGCTCAAGAACTACGTGAAGAATGCAGAAGCCTCAGGAGCCAATGCGATCAACTGGAAGAAAGGGTATCAGTGATGGAAGATGAAATGAATGAAATGAAGTGAGAAGGGAAGTTTAGAGAAAAAACAATAAAAAGAAATGAATAAAGCCTCCAAGAAATATGGGACTATGTGAAAAGACCAAATCTACGTCTAATTGGTGTACCTGAAAGTGATGGGGAGAATGGAACCAAGTTGGAAAACACTCTGCAGGATATTATCCAGGAGAACTTCCCCAGTCTAGCAAGGCAGGCCAACATACAGATTCAGGAAATACAGAGAACGCCACAAAGATACTCCTCGAGAAGAGCAACTCTAAGACACATAATTGTCAGATTCACCAAAGTGGAAATGAAGGAAAAAATGTTAAGGGCAGCCAGAGAGAAAGGTTGGGTTACCCACAAAGGGAAGCCCATCAGACTAACAGCGGATCTCTCGGCAGAAACTCTGCAAGCCAGAAGAGAGTGGGGGCCAATATTCAACATTCTTAAAGAAACGAATTTTCAATCCAGAATTTCATATCCAGCCACACTAAGCTTCGTAAGTGAAGGAGAAATAAAATACTTTACAGACAAGCAAATGCTGAGAGATTTTGTCACCACCAGGCCTGCCCTAAAAGAGCTCCTGAAGGAAGCACTAAACATGGAAAGGAACAACCGGTACCAGCTGCTGCCAAATAATGCCAAAATGTAAAGACCATCGAGACTAGGAAGAAACTGCACCAACTAAAAAGCAAAATAACCAGCTAACATCATAATGACAGGATCAAATTCACACATAACAATATTAACTTTAAATGTAAATGGACTAAATGCTCCAATTAAAAGACACAGATTGGCAAATTGGATAAAGAGTCAAGACCCATCAGTGTGCTATATTCAGGAAACCCATCTCACGCGCAGAGACACACATAGGCTCAAAATAAAAGGATGGAGGAAGATCTACCAAGCAAATGGAAAACATAAAAAGGCAGGGGTTGCAATCCTAGTCTCTGATAAAACAGACTTGAAACCAACAAAGATCAAAAGAGACAAAGAAGGCCATTACATAATGGTAAAGGGATCAATTCAACAAGAAGAGCTAACTATCCTAAATATATATGCACCCAATACAGGAGCACCCACATTCATAAAGCAAGTCCTGAGTGACCTACAAAGAGACTTAGACTCCCGCACAATAATAATGGGAGACTTTAACACCCCACTGTCAATATTAGACAGATCAACGAGACAGAAAGTTAACAAGGATATCCAGGAATTGAACTCAGCTCTGCACCAAGTGGACCTAATAGACATCTACAGAACTCTCCACCCCAAATCAACAGAATATACATTTTTTTCAGCACCACACCACACCTATTCCAAAATTGACCACATAGTTTGAAGCAAAGCTCTCCTCAGCAAATGTAAAAGAACAAAAATTTTATAACAAACTGTCTCTCAGACCACAGTGCAATCAAACTAGAACTCAGCATTAAGAAACTCACTCAAAACCACTCAACTACATGCAAACTGAACAACCTGCTCCTGAATGACTACTGGGTACATAACGAAATGAAGGCAGAAATAAAGATGTTCTTTGAAACCAACGAGAACAAAGACACAACATACCAGAATCTCTGGGACACATTCAAAGCAGTGTGTAGAGGGAAATTTATAGCACTAAATGCCCACAAGAGAAAGCAGGAAAGGTCCAAAATTGACACCCTAACATCACAATTAAAAGAACTAGAAAAGCAAGAGCAAACACATTCAAAAGCTAGCAGAAGGCAAGAAATAACTAAAATCAGAGCAGAACTGAAGGAAATAGAGACACAAAAAACCCTTCAAAACTTAACGAATCCAGGAGCTGGTTTTTTGAAAGGATCAACAAAATTGATAGGCCACTAGCAAGACTAATAAAGAAGAAAAGAGAGGAGAATCAAATAGACACAATAAAAAATGATAAAGGGGATATCACCACCGATCCCACAGAAATACAAACTACCATCAAAGAATACTACAAACACCTCTACACAAATAAACTAGAAAATCTAGAAGAAAGGGATAAATTCCTTGACACATACACTCTCCCAAGACTAAATCAGGAAGAAATTGAATCTCTGAATAGACCAATAGCAGGCTCTGAAGTTGTGGCAATAATCAATAGCTTATCAACCAAAAAGAGTCCAGGACAAGATGGATTCACAGCCGAATTCTACCAGAGGTACAAGGAGGAACTGGTACCATTCCTTCTGATACTATGCCAATGAATAGAAAAACAGGGAATCCTCCCTAACTCATTTTATGAGGCCAGCATCATCCTGATACCAAAGCCAGGCAGAGACACAACCAAAAAAGATAATTTTAGACCAATATCCTTGATGAACATTGATGCAAAAATCCTCAATAAAATACTGGCAAACTGAATCCAGCAGCACATCAAAAACCTTATCCACCACGATCAAGTGGGCTTCATCCCTGGGATGCAAGGCTGGTTCAATATATGCAAATCAATAAATGTAATCCAGCATATAAACAGAACCAAAAAAAAAAACACATGATTATCTCAATAGATGCAGAAAAGGCCTTTGACAAAATTCAACAACCCTTCATGCTAAAAACTCTCAATAAATTAGGTATTGATGGGACATATCTCAAAATAATAAGAGCTATCTATGACACACCCACAGCCAATATCATGCTGAATGGGCGAAAACTGGAAGCATTCCCTTTGAAAACTGGCACAAGACAGGGATGCCCTCTCTCACCACTCCTATTCAACATAGTGTTGGAAGTTCTGGCCAGGGCAATCAGGCAGGAGAAAGAAACAAAGAGCATTCAATTAGGAAAAGAGGAAGTCAAATTGTCTCTGTTTGCAGATGACATAATTGTATATTTAGAAAACCCCATTGTCTCAGTCCAAAATATCCTTAAGCTGATAAGCTACTTCAGCATAGTCTCAGGATACAAAATCAAGATGCAAAAATTACAAGCATTCCTATACAGCAATAACAGACAAACAGAGAGCCAAACTATGAGTGAACTCTCATTCACAATTGCTTCAAAGAGAATAAAATACCTAGGAATCCAACTTACAAGGGACATGAAGGACCTCTTCAAGGAGAACTACAAACCACTGCTCAATGAAATAAAAGAGGATACAAAGAAATGGAAGAACATTCCATGCTCATGGGTAGGAAGAATCAATATCATGAAAATGGCCATACTGCCCAAGGTAATTTGTAGATTGAATGCCATCCCCATCAAGCTACCAATGACTTTCTTCACAGAATTGGAAAAAACTACTTTAAAGTTCATACGGAACCAAAAAAGAGCCTGCATCGCCAAGTCAATCGTAAGCCAAAAGAACAAAGCTGGAGGCATCACACTATCTGACTTCAAACTATACTACAAGGCTACAGTAACCAAAACAGCATGGTACTGGAACCAAAACAGAGATATAGATCAATGGAACAGAGCAGAGCCCTCAGAAATAATGCCGCATATCTACAACTATCTGATCTTTGACAAACCTGAGAAAAACAAGCAATGGGGAAAGGATTCCCTATTTAATAAATGGTGCTGGGAAAACTGGCTAGCCATATGTAGACAGCTGAAACTGGATCCCTTCCTTACACCTTATACAGAAATTAATTCAAGATGGATTAAACACTTAAACGTTAGACCTAAAACCATAAAAACCCTAGAAGAAAACCTAGGCATTACCATTCAGGACATAGGCATGGGCAAGGACTTCATGTCTAAAACACCAAAAGCAATGGCAACAAAAGACAAAATTGACAAGTGGGATCTAATTAAACTCAAGAGCTTCTGCACAGCAAAAGAAACTACCATCAGAGTGAACAGGCAACCTACAAAATGGGAGAAAATTTTCACAACCTACTCATCTGACAAAGGGCTAATATCCAGAATCTACAATGAACTCAAACAAATTTACAAGAAAAAACAAACAACCCCATCAAAATGGGGGGAAGGATATGAACAGACACTTCTCAAAAGAAGACATTTATGCAGCCAAAAGACACATGAAAAAATGCTCATCATCACTGGCCATCAGAGAAATGCAAATCAAAACCACAATGAGATACCATCTCACACAAGTTAGAATGGCAATCATTCAAAAGTCAGGAAACAACAGGTGCTGGAGAGGATGTGGAGAAATAGGAACACTTTTACACTGTTGGTGGGACTGTAAACTAGTTCAACCATTGTGGAAGTCAGTGTGGCGATTCCTCAGGGATCTAGAACTGGAAATACCATTTGACCCAGCCATCCCATTACTGGGTATATACCCAAAGGACTATAAATCATGCTGCTATAAAGACACATGCACACGTATGTTTATTGCGGCACTATTCACAATAGCAAAGACTTGGAACCAACCCAAATGTCCAACAATGATAGACTGGATTAAGAAAATGTGGCACATATACACCATGGAATACTATGCAGCCATAAAAAATGATGAGTTCATGTCCTTTGTAGGGACATGGATGAAGTTGGAAATCATCATTCTCAGTAAACTATCACAAGGACAAAAAACCAAACACCGCATATTCTCACTCATAGGTGGGAATTGAACAATGAGAACACATGGACACAGGAAGGGGAACATCACACTCTGGGGACTGTTGTGGGGTGGGGGGAGGGGGAAGGATAGCATTAGGAGATATAACTAATGCTAAATGAGGAGTTAATGGGTGCAGCACACAAGCATGGCATATGTATGCATATGTAACTAACCTGCACATTGTGCACATGTACCCTAAAACTTAAAGTATAATAATAATAAAATAAAATAAAAAAGAAAAATAAAAAGAAACTTCCATTTAAAAGGTAACTTTTGCCACCGGATCTCCAAGTGTTCTATATCCCCTAATCAAAACTCATAATATCGTGGAAATATAAATTGTAGCATAATGAGTGTTCACCAGGTAGAGAGAATGCATGTTTCTATATTTTGACATAGACTTGTGGAAATTAGAGAAATTTTTTTCAGCTAACCTACTTAAGAATCTTATGGTACATAGACACCTATATGTATTTTGTATTGATTTTCTTCCTGGATATATTTATATTGTTACCATAGTGTTTTGTTTAATTTTGTTGATAAAAACCATGTGAAATGAAGATAACTAATGAAAAAAACCAGGTATGATCATTTTATCTGCCCATATTAGCAATTTTGAACATTATTTCAAAGTGTCCCAGTTGCCTTACAATCCTTAATTATTTGGCTAACTGTATCATTTTATTTTGTGCGCACTGAACAGAAGAGAAAAAGCATCAAGTTAATACAATTATCCTATCACTGTAAAAATTGGTCCCATTTTCTTAAAAACAATTTATTTCTTATTTTAACAAAATAGGAGACTATATTTTTGTTTTGTTTTGTTTTTGAATCGCAGACTGTAAATTGAATAAGATTAAAACTTTTTTTGTGACAAAGTAATACACCTTTTATTGGATGCCTTGGGAAACCAAACTTTTTAGTTTAGTTTGTTTTCTAGAAAAGCTTCTTTAGTGATTCAAAGTTTGGGAAGCTTGTCTGGTGGCCCTACATTAAGGAAAGGACATCAAAATCCCCAAAGGGAACCAACCTTATCGTGAGAAGGGAGACTCTAGGCTGGAGACACCAAGAACATAAAGTTGGGGCTCAAGTATATAGGACTATTATATCAATCTTAGGGAGTAAATTACTTATGGAAGCCCTGAATAACAATCCATCAAATGAAACAAACGCCATTTTGAATTTGTGTAGCAGGACCATAAGCAAATAGCACCTGTGAAGGAATGACATTTTCTATTTTGTTCTCTACTTGGAGCATGGGAGAAGAACTGAGCTCTTGGGACTGAATAACTTAACAATTCTTGGACAAATAGACAGAGGAGGAAGATATACTAGTATTTATGTTGCTAATGGTCAGTTGTGCCTTGGTGTTTACTTAGAAAAGTAAATGATATACAACTACATTTAAATCCTGGGTTCATAAAACTCACTATAATAGTCTATTATACCAGATATTCTGTCATATCTAGCTCTGATTTAATTCAGCAAGTGTTTATTGAAGATGTATTATGTATCAGGAATTTTAATAATGCTACAAAATCCATAATATATTCTGTCAATCAGTTTTTCATAGGAGAATTCTGTTAATATGTTCAAGGTTAAGCTAATTCATGCTAACATAAACTTCTATTATAAAGCAAAATTTCTGAAATGCTTCATAAATATTTTTAAGTCCAAATAAGATCAAATATATTGTACATTTCTATTCTCTGTGTTCTAGACTCTTTAAAGTACCAGCTTTGCTATGCTCCATTTTTTTTGCCTTAATAGGTGCATTAGTTTATCAAATACGGTTTTATCGATTATTAAAGAGAGATGCTTCTTCTACCCTTACAGAAGACATAGTGATTATGCTCTCATGACATAAAATCATTTGGGTAAAGAAGAAAAAATGTCTCGTTATCCAGATGTTGAGTTTAAATAATACTAAACATCTGGTGTTGTATGATAAATTTTTCTTCACTCTGAAAAGCTTTAATTTGAGAGACCGAAGACTCAAATGTCAGCCCTAAAATATGTCATAGCCTAAAATTAACACACAAGTATTTGTAATATGTTGGAGGAGTTATTTCAAGAGGTGGCTGACACAGAAATGCATAATCTGATGCTCTGAACCTCACCCAAAAGAATCATCCTATGAGTACACAAGCAGAGAGATTTTCACCTAAACATTTTGGCTTTTAAGTTTCCTGTCATTTATTTGTCCAATGGCTTCTCTTATCCATATGCCCAGATTCTAAGTGTTAATAACTGTCCAACTCTCAAAATACATAATTTATCATTTATTCAGAGTGGTTAGGACTGGAAAGTTTGCAAGTTCTTACACAAAGACCACAAAAATTAAGTAGCAAAGGTATTTTTAAAATAAGATTTGCCATGTAGTATGGGATATAATTTACTTACTATGATGAAAATAAGAAATTTTTAAACAGCTAAACATATGATTGAAAACCAAGTGTTTACTATAAACATACCTGTCACAAATTTTACATACAACCATCTACAATTAATTTTTTACTTGGTGTAAAAGTCAAAGTTTAATTTTTCCCCATAGTGTACCTAGCATCATTGATTGGAAAGACCATCCTTTTCTACTGCTAGAGAGTGCCACCTTTGTCACAAAGCCAATGTTATATTTGCGCCAGTTCTGGACTATTTGATCCTATTGGAAGTTTTGTCTACATTTGCGTTACCACCATACTGTCTTGCTTAATTTACTTTTTAATAATCTCACCAGCATAACAAAAGAGGGAAATAGGAATTACTGTTATGAAAGTTAGAAATCCTTTTTCACTCACATTGTTTAGAATTCCAGTTCATGTTGATAAAAAGTAACCAACATCTTGTCATTTTTATTATAATTTTAAAAATCTGTATAGACAGTTTATCTCCTTGTGGCCTGAAGCCAGTGTGGACCATTATATCACCCACCCTCTTCCTGTTCTTGATAGTCTGTCTATAATTTATTTGTTATCTGGTCTAAACTTCATACCTTTTTTTCTCTTTTTTTTTTTGAGAGAGTCTCTCTGTCACCAAGCCTTGAGTGCAGTGGTGCAATCTCGGCTCACTGCACCCTCCACCTCTGGGCTCAAACTATCCTCCCACCTCAGCTCACTAGTAGCTGGTACTGCAGGCGCACCACCATGCCGGGCTAATTTTTGTATTTTTTGTAGAGACGGGGTTTCGCCATGTTGTCCAGGCTGGTCTTGAACTCCTGGGCTCAAGTGATCCACCAACCTTGGCCTCTCAAAGTGCTGGGATTACAGGTGTGAGTCTCAGCAATTTTTAATTCCCTGTAAATTTCATAATTGATATAAAAATGAAATAAAAGATAATAGCAACAACAAAACTGCAATTTTCACTGGAATTGCAATGAATCTTTAGAGCATCTTGAAATTAATTGGCAAAGTCTATAGAAGGAGAGTTCATGCATGTTGGAATGGCATAAGCTATACTCCTTTATACTTTGTTTTAATTTATTTTTCTCAATAATGATCTATATTTTTCTGCATACACAGCTTGCATATCTTTCACTACATTATTATAAAGTATTTTTGAACTACTCCAAATGGCATTCCTCATGACATGACTAAATTCATTTATTATAAAAAATTATCCATAGAAGTGTTTGAAATTTCCACCTAGGAAACCTTACCATCTGAGGATAATTTTGATGGTACATTTAAATATGAAAACAAATCAATAAAACACCAAGAGACATAAAATGTTCATGATTTTGATGTAAGGTGACCATTTTTAACAAAACACAAAAAAAATCACAAAGGGAACAATTGATCAATAGAACTATGTATTAATTTTTTATTGCTGTGTAACAATTACTGCAAATTTAGTGGCTTAAAACAACACCTGTTTACCAGCTTTCAGTCTTGTAGATCAGAAGGCCAGAAATGGCAGAGCTAGGTTCTCTGCTTAGGGTCTCTTAACATTAAAAATAAAGTGTCAGCTGCCCTGTAGTATCATCTGGGAGTTTCTGATCCCATATGGTCTGATATATTTCAGTTCCTTGTGGTTGTGGGAATGAGGTTCTCTTTGAGAGGGGCCACTCTTAGGTTCTAGCTCTGGTGACAACAAAGGGCAGAAATTTGGGGCCATCTTAGAATTCTGCCTACCACAGCTGTATTTAAATTAGTTACGTTCTTTCATTAATAGAAGACTTTTGCAATATATGTAACCATAAATAACTCATGTTTATAAATTATAAGGAACTTCTAGAAATGAATGAGGACGAACATAAGGAATATCTGACAGAATCTTATCAGTATTGAGAATCTACAGCATTATGAAGATAAGAAATCAAGTGAAGGAAATTTTTACAGTATATATGTATATGACCATAAAGAGATCCTATTTGTAAGTTATAGGGAACTTAGAGAAATCAATGGGAAAACATGGAGAAAGTCATACAACATAGAGACTCATATAGATTTAAATAGGCCTTTAATAATTTTACTTCATCCAAATGACCATTAAAACATAAAAAGTGGATTGTAGTTATTACACAGAATCAGATAGTTGAAAGTACAGAGTACGTCCACATAAAGCTTCACTAGACTTAACAGATGCAGTGAAGAAAATAAGTAATAGCACAAATCAGAAAGGTCTAAGACTTTCAGGTGCAGGACTTGGGTCCTTTGACTATTTCATCGTGTATGCCTTATCTTAGGATTATTAACCACAAGGTTACAATTTTATTGAGGCTCTCTTATATTTCATCAGTCATGTATCTAAAAGCATACGTGTAACCAGATAAACCAGGTGCAGAACATCCATGTACGCATTTTTACAGAACATCCTATCCACACTGGTGTCCGGTGCTTCTAGGCAGATTCTGATATTGAACTGCATAGTATAAATCACTACCTAGTATATTTCACCCTGATCTTGGCCAGAGATTAATACCGTAGTTCCAGACACCATTGGAGAAAAAGCCTAAAGTTCCCCTCAACTAGCTGGAAGTTAACACTCTGTCTGTATTTTGTTCAATCCCCTTACTAATCAGAGAAAAAATGAAATAAAACCTCATTTGCGTATCCATAGTCCATTAAGTGGATTCAAATTTAAAGACTGAGAAGGTGTACATATTATGACCGAAATTTCTATTCCTGCATACATGCCCAGTAGAAATGTATGTACATATACTTCTTACATGTAAGCAATAATAGCTGAAAATTATAAATAACCCAGATTCCATCATAGCAGTATGTTTAAATAAGTCGTGGTATTTTCATATACTTAATTACCACCTAACAATGAAAATAAACCACACGACAGGCAACAATATAGTAGAAACTCCCAAACATAATATTCGGCATACGATGTTAACTTAAAAGAATAGATGAATCTATTTATACAAATTTCAAAACAAGGCAACACCAAACTACAGTGTTTAGGGATGAATTTGTAGCTGATAAAATAATAAGCATAAGCAACTAAGCGGTTACCATGAAAATCTTTTGAAGAGCAGGGAGAAGGTATTGATTAGCTGGAGAAATGAAGTAGGTTTCCCAGTGGAGTCTGTCTGGATGTTCAATTTGAAATAATTTATTGAGCTGTGTGCTATACTTTTGAGCACTTTTCTGTTATGTGTTTATCACTCATAATTGGAAGATATAAAATGTTCAAAATATTCAGTTGAATTTCATAAATATGTCATGATTTTATACAAATTGAGTTTCAGTTTACCTCTAAATAAAACAAAGTGATAATATTTAATACATACATAATTAGAGAGATGGTCACATGAAATTACATTACTTATCAATTGTGACATCAGAAGTGTGAATTTTAATACATAGTTATCCCCATAAAAGAAGTCAGCAGGCCAGGCGCTGTGGCTCACGCCTATAAGTCCAGCACTTTGGGAGGCCGAGGCGGGCGGATCACGAGGTCAGGAGATCGAGACCATCCCGGCGAACACG
This sequence comes from Homo sapiens, assembly GCF_000001405.40. NCBI lineage: Eukaryota > Metazoa > Chordata > Mammalia > Primates > Hominidae > Homo > Homo sapiens. The sequence continues at coordinate 179,648,394 of NC_000004.12, forward strand.
GTGAAACCACATCTCTACTAAAAAAATAAAAAAAAAATAGCCAGGCGTGGTGGCGGGTGCCTGTAGTCCCAGCTACTCGGGAGGCTGAGGCAGGAGAATGGCGTGAACCCGGGAGGCGGAGCTTGCAGTGAGCTGAGATCGCGCCACTGCCCTCCTGCCTGGGCAACAGAGCAAGACTCCATCTCAAAAAAAAAAAAAAAAAAAGAAAAAGAAAAAAGAAAAAAAAGAAGTCAGCAGTTTGGGGTAATAAAAACTATTCATCTAATGATTTTTTTTTTTTTTTTTCTGAGACAGAGTCTTGCTCTGTTGCCCAGGCTGGAGTGCAGTGGCATGATCTCAGTTCACTGCAACCTTTGCCTCCCAGGTTCATGTGATTCTGCTGCCTCAGTCTCCCAAGTAGCTGGGATTACAGGTGTCCACCACCACGCCCAGCTAATTTTTTGTATTTTTAGTAGAGATGGGATTTCACTATGTTGACCAGGCTAGTCTTGAACTCCTGTTCTCAAGTGATCCGCCCACCTCGGCATCCCAAAGTGCAGGGATTACAGGCCTGAACCATGCTACCCAGACCATATTACGATTTTTTAACTGAAATCTGCAGAGATTATACGACAAGGTGCTGCAACACTTGTCAATATTCTACTTGCTTAGCTTTACTTTACTTTTTCAAATTGTTTCACCCTTAACATTAAGAGTATCTCCTTTGTTCCCAGAATTTATGAGATTTTTCACCACCTGAAATAGTGTTTGACAGGCATTTTCCATCTGTCTGCTTTGAACTACACCTCTCTCTCCGCATCATCCCATTTGGGCTGACAACACACTGTTGATTAGTCTTCTGATGCCTAGGACATCACTTCATCACTGCACTTTCTACTCAGAGTAAATCATTAAGTATTTTTATAGTGTTAGTTTGAAAGTTGAATAATCATTTTTAAAAAGCAATTTGGAACACCTTTGCTGTTTGGATGCCTTTGATGTCTACTAATGGATGTTATTTTTCTGTCAAATTTTGCATAACATTTTTAACGGAAATATATAAATTTTTTATATGAGAACAATTTGGAAAGTTTATAACTTTTATTCTGAAGTCTTGGTGCATAAAGAGAAAAAATCCACTTTGATCTGCTTCCTCAGATTAAAGTATTAATAAAACCAAGAGAGCAAGTTTAAACTTTCTTTATAAGTTGGTTCCTTTTTGTCTATAACATTACAAAGATGTAATTTTGTGCAGTAGGGGGAATTGGAAAGCTGAAAAGGGCTGAAGGTCTTTGAGTGGTCAAGAAGTAATGATTCTGTCACAGCCAAAAGAACAGTGAGATGAGAGAAACAAAACAATCATTGTCAAATTTAAGAATGTTTATTTTTTTCTCTTCCCCAAACTGCCAACAAGGAAAGTATTATTCTTTCTCCAGAAACGAACCCTCCTAACTATACTTTAATTTTAAAGTCCAAAGTTTGCAACAAATTTAAATTAGCCCCACCAAGATCACTCTCTATTATTTCCTTCATAATATCTATCACTAACTATAATTATCCAGCTTATTTAATTGCAAATAATTACAAACCAATGTTGATTATTTGCCTCTTCAGCTAGAATATTGTCTGAACTCCTGGTCTCGTTTTTCGCCTATTCTCTTCACTCATTAAAACGCAACTTCTCACTACAACCCCAATGACACTGCTATAGCTAAGATCAAAACAACCCCAAGTTTTCAATCCAGGGGCCATTTCTCTTTCAATATCTTAAAGGCTGCTCAGCAGCATTCTGAATTTTCAAACACAACCTCCCCTTCCATCTTTGCCCCAAGGCCCCATTTAAATCATTTCTTCTCTCCTATTCTAGGATCAGAGGTGTTTCTGGTTTTCCTCCACTTCCCTGGCCACTGCTTTAAAGTTCCTTTGTTAAATCATCTTTCTGTACTTGAACTTTAAAAGCTGAGTGCCTGGGAACCCCAGTCTAGCCCTGCTCTCTCTTCCCTTCTGCAAGCCCTCTCTAGAAGCTCTCTTCCCTCTCTTCCCTTCTGCGAGCCCTCTCTAGAAGCTCTAGGTTAATCTGTGGAGAGACCTGTATGACCTTTCCATGTGAGTGTGGAAAAAAAATCTCAAATTTTACGCATTAAAAATGGAAATTTTGTTCCTTTTTCTATGCCCCAAATATATTGTCACTGTTCTGTTTGGTGTTCAGGAACATATCTATAGGTCCCAAATTACTTTAGATACCAACAAATTTTTCTTCTCACAAAATAAAAATAAGGGTCAGGTACAGTGGCTCATGCCTGTAATCCCAACGCTTTGGAAGACTGAGGCGGGAGGATTGCTTGAACTCAGGAGCTTGAGACCAAACAGGGCAACATAGGGAGACCCTATTTCTACCCAAAAAAAAAAAAAAAAAAGCAGGACACGGTATCACACATCTATAATCTCAGCTTCTCAGGAGGCTGAGGTGGGAGGATCACTTGAGCCCAGGAATTTGAGGCTTCAGTGAGCTAGGATCACACTGCTGCACTCTAGCCTGGGTGGAGTGAGATGCTATCTCTAAATTAGTTAATTAATTAATTAAAGACAATCATTCCTCAGCAAAAATATGATGAATGGCACTTACCACTTGTATTAAGATGATTGTTTGTTTGCTCTGAAGAAGGGTGAACACAGATAATTAATTCAGTAATCAAATGAATTTATACCAGACCAAATAGAATCCCTTATATATATATTTTTTAAAAATGCTTTTTTTTTTGTACTGTGTCTTGGATGAATTCCTGAAATTATGCACTAGTGCCCTACTTCTCTGATCATGTGTGGCTTAGAGTTTATTGTCTCTATCGAGGTCATTCAACTCTTTTTAGGATATATTTTTTATTTCAAGGTTTTCTAATTAATTATTTTTATATCCATTTTTCCTTGCTTCATTTCTGCCTGTTTTTACTCATTTAATAATTTCTTTTCCTTTTTATAAATGCTGTTTTTCACTTACATTTTGAAAATTCTAAGCATGCATTTTTTACAATCACTTTACTGTTTTCTTTACGTATCAGTAGATGTATCTCCTGATTGTTGATTTCCTTGCCTAACTTTTGAAGTTTTGCTCACATATTTTAGAATTTTGGTTTGCACACTTGAGTAAACTTTCTCTCTGCTTCGGTGATGATTTTTTTCTGTTCTTCCTCTGAATGACCCCGTAGGGGGGGCATTTGCAATCTGCATTTGCAGTCTTCCTACTACCTTTGGCAATATTGTAGAACCAAGAGTTAAGGGAACTCTCTAGCCTGGATGAAGTCCACAACCTGCTGTCTCCCGAATTCCTAGGAAAACAGATTTATAGAAGCCCTAGTTACAGGTACAGCTCAGCAGCTCAGCAGTAGCACTTTTCAGCCTCTTTTCAAGGGCAGAGGGACTTGACAATAAATCTTTACTTCAGGCAGCCTGTCTGGCTCCTGTTGTATATGTCATATTGGTTGATTTAAGTACTCACTGTCCTTCAAGGAGATGAAACTCCAGTCCATCTTTGCAAGCTTGTATTCTCAGATCAAGTCAGCAGATCTAATTTCACATCGTTTTTTGTTTGTTTCTGTTATGCTTATTATTGTCCATGAACTTTTTCTTTTATTTCTTGGCTGCACCTTTTTATTCAGCTTATCATTGCTGTATATCTGAAGCAGAGGAAAAACTCAAAAGTATGAACTTATGATGCCATCTAGACTAAGAATTTTCTTGGTATTGAAGTTGTATGCAAAAAGATGACAGGACTGGTTTTTGTCTTTACTTTTTACACTGAATTTATAATAATTTCTTAAATAGATTTCACAGTGTTTTGGACCTAGTGCCTGTGTGTTGAGAAGCCTCATCTTTTGTTAATACTGAACATTAACTCACAACTCACAATTTTTTCTTCTACCAAATATGCCTTTTTTATTTCTTTATGCAAAACATGTGGAATGGTAAAGCTAATTATTAGAGGATGACCGTCAGGAAACAATAAATAGTTGTCAACCTGCATTATTTGTTATGTTAATATTTCTACTCTAAAAATATTTCTCACCAAGTCTTATAAGTTCCACATTAGATGTTTTATATAGTTTAACATGTCATTCTTCTTTAACTCAAAATACTAAAAAATGACCTTAAAGTGACTCCATTTATGTTGCCTGGTTTTGTTTATTTGAATAGCCTCAGGATTAGTGCACACTGGAGATTTTGACAGGTTTAATTATTCTACACATTTAACTGGTGAGAATTTAATTACTCTAGTGTTCCCAGAGAGCTGATGACACAGGTGAGATCTTAAAAAATAATAAATAAACAAAGATAGGTATAATGTGTGTCTCTACCAATTTATAGTTAGGAATATTTTACACTTCATAGGATATACCTTATTTAAACCTCCATTTAACAATTCTGAAATTTTAGTGTTTTCTAGGTTAATTAGCATCTAAAATTAATTGAATATAATATCAAATATATATTATTTTATTTGCATTATATACTTATGTAACATATAACAGAAATACATAATATATATAGATATTTCTAAGGTTTTCATTTTGAAATAGTTTTGGATTTGACAGTAAATTTGGAAGAACAGTACAAATACTTTTCATGTGTTCTTCCCTTCAGTTAGAGATATCACAAATTTTATGAAATATTTGAAACTAAGTTACTAATGTGATGTCCTTTAGTTTTAAATTCTTCATTGAGTGTTTTCTAAAAGCTAGGACTTTTTTGTAGGGGGTGGGGGGCTTAACTACAGTGCAATGATCAAAATTAGAAAATTCACAGCGGTGGCTCACACCTGTAATCCCAGCACTTTGGGAGGCCGAGACGGGCGGATCACGAGGTCAGGAGATCGAGACCATCCTGGCTAACACGGTGAAACCCCGTCTCTACTAAAAATACAAAAATTAGCCGGGCATGGTGGCGCGTGCCTGTAGTCCCAGCTACACGGGAGGCTGAGGCAGGAGAATGGCGTGAACCCGGGAGGCGGAGCTTGCAGTGAGCTGAGATCGCGCCACTGCACTCCAGCCTGGGCGACAGAGCGAAACTCCGTCTCAAAAAAAAAAAAAAAAAAAAAAAGAAAATTCACAGAAGTAGAATCCTATTATCTGCATTCATTGTATAAGTTGTATCAATTATTCAACTAACATTTATTATAACAAATACGGTAAAACAATGTCTTTCCTGGTCCAGGGTCTAAACCAGCACCATATGTGGCACACACCTCACTCATGTCCTTTAATGTGGAACAATTCCACAGTCTCTGTTTGTCTTTTATGACTTTGACATTTTTTTTCGTGTAAGGGAACAGGCTTATTATTTTGTTGAATGACCTTGACTTGGCTTTCATGATATTTTCTAATGATTACATTATGCATTTTGGGCAGGAATACCATCAAATTACTGTTGTGCCCTTCACAGTAAATTATAGCACCTGGATATCATACTTATTTTTTCTCTGTACCGGTGAGGTTAACTTTGATCATTTGCTTTTCTTCACTTTAAAGTTTCCACTTTCTCTTTGTAATTAATTTGTAATAAACTGGGGAGCTATTTTAAGACCATGTCAAATATCTAATTTCTTGTCAAAATTGTATTCGCTGTATTAGCATCCAGGTAATTTTTGCCTGAAACTGTCATTACTATGATGCCACCTGGTGATTTTCCAGTTTTATCATTCATCCTACACTTGTTAGTTGGTATTCTAGCATGAAGAAAACTTTTCAGTACTGTCCCATTTAATTATGTAAGCATGTATTTAATTAGGTATGTATGAATTCATGGTTCCTTATTTTATTCAATGGCTCATAATCCATAAATATAATTAGTATTACCAATGCTTACACTGTTTTAGATTTGGCCTCTGGAAATCCCTCAAAGGTTGCTCATATGTCCTTTGAATTGTCACCATTATTCTTTACATGGTCCTTTACTTTTTGAAAAGCACAAAAAGATGATTCAGATCAACTGTATTAAGAATTGGGTATTTCTGCAAGAAGCTCTCCTTCTTTTGTGTGGAAAATAAATTTAGAAACCAAAATATGGACACTAGGTGTCCTTACTCATAATGGAATGTCTTTGCTTCTAGGTCCTTTTATCAGACAGTTATGAACTGCAAATATGCATACGTAGACTTTTCCTGTCTCTTTACAGCTTCAAGATCCTCCATTGTATGGATATGTCAGAGTTCATTCAGTCCTACATATGGGCATTTAGCTTTTTTTCAACTTTTTGCAATTACAAACTGTATTGTAATGATTCGCTTTGTACATATGTTTTTTAATGTCTGCCATAATGGTAATTTCTAGAATTGAAATTGCTGCTAAAAAGGTAAAATATATGTAATATGTTAGATATTGCCAAGAAGGATGTATCAATTTGCTTTTTCACAGAAACATCTTAGTGCTGGTTTCCCACTGCGTCTCCAATAGCATGTGTCCTCATACTCATTTAAACTTTTGCCGTTCTCTTAGGTGATAAATGGCATGTCACGCAGCTTTAATTTCCACTTCTCTAATTCTGAACATATTTCATATTTCATATGTTCAGTAAAGCTGAACATATTTTGCTAAGTTTAAGAGCCATTCATATATATTTGTTGTGAATTTTCTGTGATTTTTGGCCCATTTTTCTATAAGATCTTAAATTTTTTAATATTAGGGATATTAGTTGTTTATCTGTAATAGACTTTTCATTTTTTTTCCAACTGTCAGTTGTCTTTTGATAGTATTTATAGTGCTTGTTATCCGATAAATTTTTTTTACGGAAAATTCATCAATATTATATTTTCTTTTTCTTTTTCTTTTTTTTTTTTTGAGATGGAGTCTCGCTTTGTTGCTCAGGCTGGAGTGCAGTGTCATGAGCTAGGCTCACTGCAACCTCCACCTCCCAGGTTCAAGCGATTCTCCCGCCTCAGCCTCCCGAATAGCTGGGATTACAGGTGCCCACCACTATGCCCAGCTAATTTTTATATTTTTAGTAAAGATGGGGTTTCACCATGTTGGCCAGGCTGGTCTCGAACTCATGGCCTCAAGTGATCCGCCTGCCTCAGCCTCCCAAAGTGCTGGGATTACAGGCATGAGCCACCATGCCCAACCTGTATTTTGTTTTTCCTTTTGTTTTTTAAGTCTGAATTCTGAGTCATAGTTAAAAACAAAACAAAACTTTTTCTGCTTTCATGCTGCAGAGAAATACATCCATATGTTATTATGGTTGTTGTAAATATTTTCCTTATTGTTTGTTTCCGTGTTTGCTTACATTTAAATTTTGGTTTCACTTTGAATTTATTCTTTTGCACATTATGATATTTGGATCTAATAGTACATGTTTTTCAAGTGGTCAACTAGTTGTCCCGGAACTATTTGTTGGAGTTTGTCTTTGATCTGAATATTTAGATGCTATTTGTATCAGATATCCAATTTCATATGTAGGTTTATTTCTAGACAGCCTTTGTGGATTTGTACAGTTGCCTACTTACATGCCCATACTCCACTGTTTTAAAATAAAGATTTTTATATATTAAAACATCATAGGTTGCCAATCATTCCTTACAGTTTTCTTTTTCATTGATTTCTTAACAGTTTTGCATGCTTCTTCCCCTGTGAACTTCATTATTAACTTCTCTTGCTCCTCACAAGCATTTTTTGGTATTTTTATTGTGATGACATTACATTTATAACTTTCCTTATAAAAGCTGACCTATTTATGATGTTGAGTCATTCTAAACACTAATAGAAGTTTAATAGAAGTTTTTTTCTATTTTTTATTCTCCTTTATGGTGGTTCAAGAGAAATGCACATACTTTAAAGGCTTAGAAAATGAGGTTATAATTAACATCGGCACCTATTTTATTGATGCAATCTAATTTCTAGGTTTTTTTAAAATTTCTCTTTTCAAATATGTTGTATGAGCTATGTCAAGCACTTATCTAAGATACCAACAGCTAACCTTTCCTGATTTTCCCACTTTGTAATAAGTGAGAGATTATTTGCTTCATGTGTAGTAATTTTTCTCTCTATTCCAGTGCTTTATGTATTTGTTGCCATATCTATATTTTACAGCTCTCATACCTGTTAAAGAGTAAGTTCAATGAAATTGTAGTTTCCCTCTTTTTCATGTATTTTAAGTTACATAAATTAAAAGAGATGTTTATGCTAGAATGTTTATGTGTAGATTTGACAATGGTGCCAAATTTACACAGGTAAAATGCACAAAACTGATATTTCAGACATAGGCTTGAACTAATCACCTAAATTATATATAGTATATTATTTTTTGTGCCATACATTAGAGCCTATATACAAGATATATAAAAAGGACTACTTAATTATATATTTTTAATTGCTGTTAGAGCATTAAATCTATTTTTATTTTAAATGTATGTAGTCATTTTTTGTTATTTAAAGAAGTATAGCTATGGAAATAAGAAATGTAAGTTATATAGTAGGAAATATTATTGGAAAACATTAATGATTATACAAATAATCAGATAATTATTTTCTAGCATAGTAATATAATTTTCAAATTTACTGTAAATTTGAAAAATGTTTACACTGAATCCCTATGTGCTTAAAACCTGGTCTTCTACTAACATTATATTATAATTGTTTATCACATTTCAACAGATACACCTTTTTCTCTATCCACCCATCAAGCTGTCTTATTTATGATGCCTTTCAAAGTAAATTGGAAGCATCACTGCACCTTCCCCTAAATACTTCAGCATCCGTGTCATTAACCAAGGTTCAATATTTTGTTATAATTTACTCAAATGAAATAAAACAAATTTTAATTGTCTATTCACTAGGTTCTGAAAAAATACCTGTCCTTAGTAATCCTTACCTCTACCAATATATAAAACAATACAACCAACTCAAATCATTTCCCTATGTGTGTTTCTAGAAAATCCCCTCACCCCACTCTCAAGACAAGCACCTGACTTTTTTCCAAAATAGAATAATTTCATGGTCATAAAAGTTTACATGCATGGAATCATATCGCATGTGCTCTTTAGTGTAAGGTTTCTTTCCATTATTGTATTGTTTTTTGGTATTAATCAGAGTTGCATGCATCAGTAATTTTTCTTTATCTCTGCGTAGCATTCAATTGTTAAATACACTAATGTTTTCTCGGTGATATTGGAGTAGTTTCCAGTTTTAAATTATTATAAAGTGGCTATTAATATTCTTGTACAGGTTTTTGCGAACATTTTTCATTTATCTTAAGTACATGTCTAGGAATGTCATCACTACATTACGGAGAAAGTTAATATTTAGTTTATAGGAAACTGACAAACTGTTTCTCCAGTGATGATACCATTTCAAATTTCCACCAACAATTTATGAGAGTTGTAATTGCTCAACACACTTGTCAACACTGTTTTGTCAGTCTTTTCTTATTTTTAGTCATTTTGGTGGATGTGTTGTGGTATTTCATTAGTAGTTTTAATTTATATTTCTATAATGATGAATAATTTGAGCACTTTCTAACCGTGTAATGGTAACTTGCATATCTTCATTTTGAAGTGTCTAGGTACTTTGTCTTTTATTATTTCTCATAGGAGATATATGTACATTTTCTATGTGAGCCCTTTGTCACATACATAGGTTATGAGTGTTTTCTGTTGGCTAATGCTCACCTAAGTATTTTTTAAAGATGCCTCTGCTGTGGTTCGAATGTATGGGTTCCTCCAACATTTATAAGCTGGAACCTAATATCCAATGTAATAGTCTTAAGAGGTGGGGACTTTTGGGAATTGATTAAGTCATGAGCTCTCCTCTCACATGAATGAAATTACTGCTCTTATAAAAGAGGCCGAAGGGAACACTATCGTTTCTTTTTGTTCTTCCATCTTTTCTGCCATGTGAGAACACACAGTTCATCACCTCTAGTGGACACAGCCACAAAGTGCCATCTTGGAAGCAGAGAGTTAGTCATAACGAGACACTGAATCTGTTGACATCTTGATCTTGGTATTCCTAGCCTCCAGAACTTTGATAAATACATTTTAAATCTCTTTTTGATACTATGTCAATGCCACAGTTTTGATTATACTGGATTTATAGTAGCCATGAATTCAAACAACATGCATTCAATTTTTGTTCTTATTTTCTAAAATTTCAGAGGTATTCGAGGTCTTTGGTGTTTACATATACATTTTAGAATCATCTTGTCAATTTACTTTATTAAAATAAGCTTTTGAGAGGGATTTTAGTGGGGATAACTGTAAATGTATGGATCAATTGGGGAATAATTAAAATCTAGATACTACTGACTCATCTAGTCCATGAATACTGTATACATATTTATTTAAAATTTTTCTTAGCAATATCATATCATTTCTAGAATTAGTAAGGATACAACTAAAACATTTGATTATTACTTTATGTTTCTACTTCAGAAAATGACACTCAATATCACTTTACAATGTTATGTGATGAAGATATTATTATATTTAAAAACATCTACACTGATAGGAGTTATGGAGAGTTAATACTTAAGTTCAAGGTTTAGGTAACCTTGACGATATACAAATTTGCAGCCTCTTATAAGACCTTGTACATTGATCTTGACTCGTGTTCAGTTGCCTGATTATGAATGACCTTTTGATGAGCGATCTAGGGCAAATTACTTTGTCTCTCTGTAATTCCGTTTTCTCAGCTCTAAATGGGTGAAACAGTGGTGGGGTTGCAAGGCTTTACAGACAGAATAGAAGCAAGGTCTTAGAACAGTGTTTGAACACTGAAAAGCACCATAATGATCAACTGTTTTCCTTTTCATTCATGACCTTTTCTTCCCTTTCCTTCTGCATGCCAAGCCCTTCCCTGCTTTAGAGTCTTTGCGTTCCCTTTGCCTATTTTCTCAGCTCCTCTGAGGGAGACTTCCTTTTTATCTTTCACTCATAGCTTGAATGTTCTTTCTCTTGAAGAAGATTCCCAATCATTTAATATGAAGAGAAGCTCTCTGTTCTCTATCTCAACAATATGTTTATTATCTTTATGGCAATCAAAAGGCTTTCAAAAAGTGCTCTTGTTTTGTTTTACATTACTTTGCATATTTGTTTTTGATATTCAATGTAGAAATTAGGCACTGTGCCTCCTATGTTTACCAATATATGTTAATAGCATGGTACAGTGCCTTTCTAATGTAGATACTTAGCTAATATTTATCAAATACATGAATCTTCAATGAGGCAGAATAGCCCTGGCTATACTCTAAATGTTTGTGTCCCCCTAAAATATATATATTGCAAACTAGTTCCCAGTGTAGTGTTATTAGAAAGTAGAACATTTGGGAGATGATTAGGTCATTAGTGTGTCACCCACATAAATAGGATGAGGGCCCTTATAAAAGAGGCCTGAAGGAGCTCTGTCATCCTTCCATGTGAGACACAGCAAAAAGGCACCATCTATGACACAGAGAAGGAGCACTGACCAGACACTGAATGAGTCGGCACCTTGATCTTGGACTTCCCAGCCTCCAGAACTGTGAGAAATAAATTTCTGTTGTTTATGAATTATGCACTTTGTCGTACTTTGTTATAGCAGCCTGAATGAACTCAGAAATACTTTATTACTGAGAAGTGGGGTGCTGATGTAACAGATACCTAAAAATGTGGAGGCAGCTTTGGGAATGGGTAATGGGTGGAGACGGAAAGAATTTTCAGGTGTGTACTAGAAAAAGCCTACATTGCTGTGACAGGAGCATTAAGGACTGTTTTGGTGGGGGCTCAGAAAAAGAGGAGAGCTGCAGAAAACCGCAGTCTTCACAGAGATTACATACATTGTTATGAACAGAATATTGGTAGAAATATGGATGGCAAAGACCATTCTGATTAAGTCAAATAAAAATGAGAAACATGCTTTTTTTTGGAAATTGGAGGAAAGGTGATTCTTGTAATAAAATGGCAAGGAAGTTGGCTGAATTTTGGTCATGGCCTAGTGTTTTGTGGAAGGCTGAACTTGTGAGCAATGAATTTAGGATATTTGGTGGAAGAAACATAGCAAAGTGTTGAGGGTGTGGCATGCCTTTTGTTTACTATTTATAGTAAAATATGAGAAGGGAGAAATGACCTAAAGATAGAGTTTCTAGTCCAAAGCATAGGACAATGTAAAGATTTGGAGTATTCTAAGCCTGGTCATGTTGTGAAGAATAAAGACACTTGTTTGGGAGAGAACAACAGGGGTGCAGCAAAGTGACTGATAAGGACATTGCCATGGATTTGCGGAAGCCAGGTGCTATTTATCAAGACAATAGAAAATGACTGCAAAAGTGTCTCAGGGATCAGCAGGGCTGCCACCCTCATCAAACACCCAGAGTGCCAGTACCTGAGGGACAGAACTATGTCAAAATGGGGGTGTCAGGCATTTGTCAGATCTCAATGCTCATTGTTCTGCCACTGCCTCAAGTCTCTGCTCCCTAAATTTTGGTATAGGGATCCTCAGCTGTCCCAGGTGTGGCTCCAGTGGCCCCACAGGCCACAGCGACCACCTTTCAGGAGACACAGGCAGTAAACCTTGGAAGTACCCATGTGAGCCATCTCCACCAGCCAGCAGAATTCAGGGTTGTGGGGCATGGCTGCCTACATCATGATCTCAGTGGATGTCCCAGAGCATCGCAAGGCCCAGGCAGAGAACTGCTGCAGGGGTGAGGCACCACAGAGAGCCTCCACTAGGGCAATGCTTAGTAAAGCTATGGAGACAGGGCCACCTCTGTGATCCCCGGCTGGTTGAATCACAGACATTCAGTTCCAGTCCAGAAAACCCAGAGAGCATGACCGCAACCTGTGAGAGCTGTGGTATGAACTGCACCCAGAAAAGTTATGAGACAGGGCTTTCTGGAGCCTTGGGAGCCCACCCCCAACCCCAGTGTGTCCAGAAGGCTGGACATGGAAACTATTATCAAGATTACTCTGGATACTTAAGATTTAATGTCATTTTCCCTGCTGAATTTTGGACTCGGTTGGAGCTTGTCACTTCTTCCTTCTTTCCTATTTCTCCCTTTTGGAATGGGAAGATTTATCCTATGCCTGTGCAACCATTGTATTTTGGAACCTCACGACTCACAGGCTCACAACTAGAGAAAAATTTGCCTCGGAATAAATCTAACCTTGAGTCTCACTGATGTCTGATTTAGATAATATTTAGATAAGTCTTTGGATTTAGGCTTTAAAGTTGATGCTGGGACTAGTTAAGATGTTGGATGCTTTTGGGATGGAATGAGTGTATTTTCCACATGAGAAGGATGTGGATTTTGAGTGGACAGGGGTGGAATACTACAGTATGGTTATTTGTTTTTTCTCCCCAAAATTTATATATTGCAACCTAATACCCAATTTAGTAGTATTAAGAGACAGGACCTTTGGTAGGTGATTAGATCATGAGGGCTCCACCCTCATGAATGGAATTCTTGACCTTATAAAAGAGGCCTGAGGGAGCTTGTTCACCCTTCCAATATGTGAGCACACAACAAGAAGTTGCCATCTATGAAGCAGAGAGGTTTCCCCAGACATGGAACCTGCTGGTACCTTGATCTTGGACTTCCCAGTCTCCAGAAAGATGAGCAAGAAATCTCTTTTATTTATAAATTGCCTGGTTTAAGACATTTTGTTGGCTGGGCGCGGTGGCTCACACCTGTAATCCCAGCACTTTGGAAGGCCTAGGCGGGCGGATCAGGAGGTCAGCAGATCAATACGATCCTGGCTAACACAGTGAAACCCTGTCTCTACTAAAAATACAAAAAATTAGCCGGGGGTGGTGGTGGGCGCCTGTAGTCCCAGCTACTCGGGAGGCTGAGGCAGGACAATGGCGTGAACCCGGGATGGGAAGCTTGCAGTGAGCCAAGATCGTGCCACTCTACTCCAGCCTGGGCGACAGAGCGAGACTCCATCTCAAAAAAGAAAAAAAAAAAAAAAAGATATTTTGTTATAGCAGCCTAAATGGACTAAGATAGCTCTCATTTTAGAAATTTTGATAATGGTTCTTAAGTAGAAATTTTGTCTTTTCAAATTCACTGCAAAGTACCATCTGTGAGTTCTTATTTTGAAATATTGCCAACATTCAAGATAATAATAATAATATATATATATATGGCTATTCTTATTCTTCCCAGTAACTTGAAATTAAGACGTGTGGAGAGGATTTTCAAGGTGCAGTTATTGTCAACAAAAGTGTCCTCTTGTCTCCAGAATTAACTATTCAAACACAGTTCTTACAAAATTGTTGTTTTTGTTTCAAACAAATAGTGCTCACAGTACTTATTATTTATTAATTTAGCAAACACTGACTTTTTTCTAGATTCTTAGCATTCTTCTGAGAGAAAACATGACTGAACAAGACAGAGCTCATGTTACAGAGTGTTAAAGGAGCACAAGTTTTTTTAAAAGAATATTGAAGAGGACCTGAGCAAAGACTTGAAGGAGGTGACCTCTCTCTTCAATTTCATTTTCTGCCCTTTTTCTTTAAAGACTTACCATATGCCCTGGCCACATAGGATTACTCTAAGTCTTATACATTCTATATTTTTCCACCTCTGTTTTCTTGTTTTCATATTTTCATATTTTTCCTCCACCTAGAATAGGTTTTCTTTGTTTTTATGTCTCTGCCACCATCCTGGTTATAGCTACTATTACAGCTGCTGTTACTTTTTACTGGTTTCCACAATATCCTTTCATCCCATACAGTAGGTCCTCACTTAACACCATCCGTAAGTTCTTGGAAACTGCTACTGTAAGTGAAACAACATGTAATAAAACCAATTTTCTTATAGACTAATATAAACAAGAGTTCTGTTTGTAAATATATTTCTGGTCACAAAAGTGTCACCAAATTCTACATAAAGACCCAAACATTTCTATTAGTAAAAATTGGAATAAATGTAAGCTATACATACATTTAAGAAAGATTAATCAAAACAAGTAAGATAATTATTTACCAACTTTCGGTGATGGTGAGTGACTGTGGTCATAATGGAATTTAATCAAGGAATACACGTTTGTGAAGCCAAACTTGTAAGGAGCAACCTCCCCTCACCACAAAGTTCAAAAGCAATCATAAAGAGGGTGAGCTCACTGAGTGCTTTCCTACTACACCGTTTATTGCCACGCATCTGTATGATTGTTGTCTACTTGGTGAATTTCTAGTTTACAATCATTTGTATTTTTTCATTCGCTCATTTTTCAACCTGCTTATTTCAGTTCAGGGTTGCAGGTGGCCGCAGCCTGTCCTGACAGCTCAAGGAGCCAGGCGGGACCACCCCAGCCAGCCACCCTCCCGTCGCCTGGTGACTCATGTTCACCCACAAACACTCACACTCGCCCACACTCATTCATCCACATTCACTCACACTCACCTACATTCACTCTTTCATCCACACTCACCCTCACTCACCCACTCACATTCACCCAAACTCACTCACACTCACCCACTCACACTCATCTACACTCACATTCATCCACACTCAGTCACTCTTACCCTCACTCACCCACTCACACTCACCCAAACTCACTCACACTCACTCACACTCATCCACAGTCACACTCACCCTCATCCACTCACACTCACCCAAACTCACACTCACCCACACTCACCTATACTCACATTCATCCACATTCACTGACACTCACCTACACTCATCCACACTCAGTCACACCCACACTCACACCCACACACACCTTCACTCACACTTACTCACAATCACACTCAACCACACTCACATTAATCCACCTTCATTCATTCACCTACACTCATCCAGACTTACACTCACCTACACTCATTCACTCTCACACACACACATACCCCCACTCACACCCCCACTCACATCCTCAAACACAAATTCACCCACATTCGTCCTCACTCACTCATACTCATACCCACACTCACACTCATACTCACCCTCATTCACCCTCACCCACACTCACCCTCACCCTCACTCACCCACATTCACCCACACCACTCATATCCACACTGGGATACGGGGAACTGCTAGGGAACTTAATGGGCACAGCTTTGGGATATGGGCGGAAACCTTAGTGCTCAGGGAAAACCTAGGCAGAGAGAACATGCAGACTCCACACAGACAAGGGCTCAGACAGGAACGAGACAGGTGGTAGGGCTCGACTTCAGAGACAAGGTTTGGCCACCAGACCAAATGGAGGACTATTTAAAACAGCGACAGGGCAGAAGCACCTCCTCATAAGACACACCCACCAGTGTGCCATTGTCAGTTTACCTCTGCCATAGCAACATCTGGAAGTTACTGCCCCTTTCCATGGCAACAATGCAACGAGTCAGAAGTTACCACCCTTTTCCTAGAAATTTCTGCATAATCCACCCCTTCATTTGCATGTAACTAAAAATGAGTATAATTATGACTTCAAAACTTCCTCTGAGCTGCTGCTGCTGCTCTGGGCACACTGCCTATGGGGTAGCCCCACTCTGCTGGGGCAGTACCTCCACTGCTGCTGGGGCAGTACCTCCACGGCTGCTGTACACTGCGCTTCAGTAAGAGTTGCTATTTCACATCACCTGCTGGCCCTTGAATGCCTTCCTGAGCGAAGCCAAGAACCCTCCCAGGCTCGACTGTCCTGCATCAGAAGCAAATGTTTTCCTTATCCATGTAATAAGGAAACAACGTGGAAGAAAAGGCTGTTCTGCAGGACCTGCTCCGCTCTCCGCAGGCGTTACTGACCAGTTAGTCAGGACTATACTTCCAACCGATCACTTCGTTATGATCATAAAAGACAAAATAATGCCTCAGCCCACAGGCCCTGTGCGATGTGCCAGTGACCACCCCCTGGCGGCACTCATCATCTGCCATGTGCCACCTGTTACTACTCTGTCCATCATTCCATGGTCTTTCCGGCTTCAGAGCCAGAGCATGAACTACCCCTCTGCCTAGACTCCCCTCTCACCCGTGCGGGGCATTTCTGACATAACGCCCGCTCATGCTGCAAACACAACAACAATTCACTTCCTTAAGCAGCTCCCCGCTTGCCATCCTCCCCTACCTGTCCTTAGCCAATATTCTATTACATGAGTACAGAACACCCCGAATCTCCCCTTTTTCTAAAACTATATTAAAGTCCTGCTTCGGCTGGGCACAGTGGCTCATGCCTGTAATCTCACCATTTTGGGAGGCCAAGGCAGGAGCATCACCTGAGGTCAGGAGTTTGAGATCAGCCTGGCCAACATGGTAAAACCCCATCTCCACTAAAAATACAAAAAAAATTAGCTGGGCGTGGTGGCACACGCCTGTAGTCCGAGCTACTTGGAAGGCTGAGGCAGGAAAATCACTTGAACCTGGGAGGCAGAGGTTGTAGTGAGCCGAGATTGCACCACTGCACTCCAGCCTGGGTGACAGAGCAAGATCCTGTCTCAAAATTAATAAATAAAATTTAAAAGTCCTGCTTCTTCAGTTACTCTATGTTTGCTTTACCTTCTGTTATAAAGAAGACAGGACTGTTTTTTTTTTTTCTTTTCTTAGTGAGTGCTGCAATTTACCTCCTTGGTAAATCTTTTCATAGAGTAGATTTTTAATAAATGTTTGTTGATGAATGGTCTATTTTTTATTTATTAAAATGACTATTTAGAAAGATAAAAGAAATGCCCGCAAGTTAAACAGTTTTAAAAGCTGACAACCGCCAAACAACACAAAATACAGAAAAATAGTATATCTATTGCCTGCCAGACACACTGCTTAACACATTTCCCCCCTACATTTTGTGTACTCTGATTGCCTCTGCAAATGACAATTTTGTATTTTTCTACAGAGAGAAAAGAAAATTAATGTACTCTTTCTTCTTGCATAGTGTATTAAAATGTGTTCTTTTTTTAAATGATAGCTGGGGCACATAAAACATGTGATTTCACACACAAATGTGCTTATTTCTATCAGTTTGAGTATTTAAATGTGGGATTTTGGTAGATTTTATTGACATGATGAGACAGCCAGGTAGGAGGGGGGTCCCTGGAGGAACTCCAACCAGCCTGACCACTGAAGTGGAGCCTCTTGAGAAATTCCTGATGTTTGCAGCAGGGAGGGACCTGGCCCCTCCTCCTCCTGTGTGGAAACTGGGATTCCAACTGCAGGGTAGGAAGTGCTCTAGCAGGGACTCCGGCCTTGCAAGAGTCCCTGTTTCCCCTTTTCACCCAATAAAACCCTGTTTCACTCACCCTTCAAACCATCTGCGAACCTACATTTTCATGGCTGTGGAACGAACAAGGACCCTGTCTTTAGCTGAACTAAGGAAAAGTCCTGCAACAATGATACACCTTAAAGGCATATGGTCCATTTACTGTATAAATCTTGCATTATTATACATATTTCTGACATGAGAATATTGTCCTTTTGACTCTGTTTTCAATTTCAGGTGGTTGATAATTGGTGGTGTTTTCCACACACTGTCTTCTTACGTTGAATGTCTCAAACATAGGCTTGTCTTTCATCCTCAAACTTGGAATTCTGGATGCCACAGGACATGATTATATAGTAATGTGGCCCCTACTCTTGCAACTGTGTGTCTTGAGGCTTGCAAGTCAGCATAGTGGTGATAGGAGTGCTTTGGAAAACCATTCCTCTCTCTGGCTCTGATAACTGCTAGGAACTAAATTACACACTGGAGTGATCTGAGACCCCATGGATATCCCAAAAACCCCAAACTAAATTTGTTCTCAATGCAATTTCCTCTTAGATAAATCCTAAAATTGCCGTCTTGCCATTCCAGTGCTCTCTTGGAGGAAGGGAAGACGGAGTAGAAGGAAATAACACTCATAACAGATTTTGATTAAAATATCTTTCCTTTAAACACATGGCCACGTGAGCACATCATGAGGATGCTTCACTGGACTTATGAAAGAGCCTCTTTTGGAGGTGAAAGTTACTGAACTTAAGCAATTGTAAGCTTTATGGTAAATCCATTTCTGTAATTAATTATTTGGGATATATTTTCTGCTATGTCACTCAAATATTAAAAAACCAGACCAAGGTTTTGTGATTTAAAATTGTCTTTTAGGAAGGGCAGAATGTATGATGTCAGTTTTGTCTTGTTTTGTCTTGTTTTCTGGAGACCCAGAGGTGGGGGAGAATTAGTACTTTTTAATTTCAGATTATTTTGATCATTTGCTTTTCTATAAGTTGTTCTTCTCAACCTCTCTTCACTTTTTTACTGCTTTCCTCTTTTGTCCTTTCTTTTTACCAAGATAAAGTGATTGGTTTTATGACTGTAGCTACCAGTCCAAGTTACCAGGCCCATACAGTATCGTGGATTATTTCGGAAGGAGGGTCCCCAATCTTCTATTATGAAACCAAGTGATGTTTCTGGGGCGATACCTGCAGATAAGACTGGACAAGTAAGAGGAAGCATTTTCAGGGGATAAAAAATGGCTGGTTTAGTTCAATGAAGGGAATTTATGATAGCCTTCCAATGGAGATTTGCTGTTATCTTCACAGCCTCGCAGCTATGCCAGCTGAAGTCACTATGTTTCAAATACCAGGAGCAGGATAACCCCGTGTTTACAGCTCTCGACATCAGTCTTTTCTTTCCTTCCAGTCTTTCCTTTCATTCTTTCCTTTCTTTTCTCCCTTCCTTTAATTTCTCTTTTTCTTTTTCATATATTTTTATTGTTATTGTTTAATATTTTTGCATCTATAGATCAACCTCTAACTTTATATTCTTATCATATGTTTGTCATGTTTTTAATTTTTTAAAATTTGGTTTGCTAGTCTACCTTAGCAAGTTAGGAAATGTTCCTCATTTGTGCATTTTGTAAAATATAAAGGATGGGTTTTTTAAATATAAAGTTCTGTATACCTTGCACAAGCATATAATAGGGGCTCAATAAATAATTATTGATTTGGTAACTTGCCAACAACCTCAGCTTTCTTCAGTTATTTTATCCTCTCTAACTTTATGCCTTTATATTAGTGTCATCTTTTTAGCTCTAATTTCACAGCTGCTATAATAGCTTCCAGGAAGAAATTTCCTAATCACTTTGACAATGAAGTCTAAGTGATTAGACTTGGTTTGATGGTATGATTTGGCATGTTTTCTTCTCCATAGACTTTTTGAGTTTTGTCAGGAAAAAAGGAATATTGTCCCAATGTATAATTCCAGGGACTATATGTAATCCATGGGGGAGAATTTGTGTCTATGCGTGTGTGTGTGTGTGTGTGTGTGTGTGCGTGTGCATGTAAAGGAATGGGTTTTTGATTATTGAACTTTCTGATACTCATCCCACAATGGTGGCCCGTGTGGGAAGTGGTAAATGACACTATTGCTTCATGAGCCTGGCCCTAACTATTGCTACATACATAACCATGAATCCTAAGGTGCGATGAAAACCAGGGCTAGATGGGGTATAAGTATGGCTGCCCTTTCTTGTGCTACAAACAGCTCTTTTCTACTTGAACCTTCGTGAGACTGCCAGAAGGTGAGACAGAAAATATGGAAGAGATATACGTGATTTGGAGTTCCCCCAAAACTCCAACATTAGTGCTATCATTTAAGTCAGTAAACTGGGAGAGGCAGACTCATCCTCAGACTGGGTGGGCACCATCGAATCAGCTGCCACTGCAGCTTGGATAAAGGCAGGCAGAGGAGTGGGGAAGGACTGGACTGGCTGAGTCTTCTGGCCTCCATCTTTTTCCTGTGCTGGATGCTTCCTGCCCTGGAACATCGCACTTCAAGTTCTTCAGCTTTGGGACTCTTGGACCTTCCACCACAGACTGAAGGCTGCACTGCCGTCTTCTCTACTTTTGAGGTTTTGGGACTCGAACTGGCTTCCTTGCTCCTCAGCCTGCAGAGGACCTATTGTGGGACCTCACCTTGTGACCCTGTGAGTCAATACTCCTTAATAAACTCTCCTTTATATATACATCCATCCTATTAGTTCTGTCCCTCTGGAAATCCCTGACTAATAAATCTTTCTTACTTTTTTTTTTCTTTTGAATTTCCTCCCCTTTTAGGGTCGGGGTTTTGATCTGTTTGATTAAACATTACTTGAAACTTTTAGTTATGTGCTCTGCAATTATGTGCCTAGTTAGGCATGCTATTGACATTTTTATATATTCCACACAGGAAATCCTCTGCAGTAATGTAGCTTTTCATTCTGGTTACAATTATTAGACATACAAATTTCTGCTTAAACTTCATTGTATCCTCACAATCTCTGGGATAAAGACAAATTAGCAGCTCTCCTTACAGAATGAAAACAGAACATGCTAATTTATTCTGTTTAAATTTTTCATGAAACGCATCAATGAATTCAACATCAGCTTGTCAGTTGAACCTGTTTCCCCCTTTTATCTCAGATAGCCACATAATTTATTTTGGAAGGTATCTGCTTTGTTGTTTCTATCTCACTGAACTCTCATTTCCTGGATTCTCTGCCATATGGTAGTACTTTTTTATAAAGTTCCAGTTCAAAAATGCCACACATAACCAAAAAAATACACAAAAGAGAAATTCAATGACAGTCAATGATTCCTAGTCACATAGACTAGAATCAGCTTTCAAGGAAGGTGACATGGCAAGAATATTACTTGTAAGAACAAGGGACTCTGATCTATATCACCGTTATTCACCCCAACTCTTGTAAAGATGTCATTAAAATATTTCTTGTGTTAAACATTCCAATATGCTATTAAAATAAGGTCATTTATCCTCAAAGATCTGTGATAAGACAGTCTTTCTCATTCTTAATAATTTTATCTAGATTACATATTTGCTATTAAACCTATCCTTACTTTTGGTAACAGTATAATGAATCATAATAAGAGTTATATTAGGCCAGTTGCGTTGGCTTATGCCTGTAATCCCAGCACTTTGGGAGGTTGAGGGGAGCAGATCACCTGAGGTCAGTAGTTCCAGACTAGCCTGGCCAACATGGTGAAACCCTGTCTCTACTACAAATACAAGAAATTAGCCAGGTATGGTGGTGCATACCTGTAATCCCAGCTACTCGGGAGGCTGAGGCAGAAGAATCGCTTGAATCCAGGAGACGGAGGTTGCAGTGAGCCGAGATTGCGCCACTGCACTCCAGGGGGGTGACAGAGAGAGACTCTGTCGCAGAAAATAAATAAACAAATAAATAAAAATTATGTTATTACATCATCAGACTTTTAAAAAATCATTGAGCGATGAATTGAGTAACATATAATAGGGATAAATATGAATTTTAAATCCTAACCCATAGGTACATTGTCTTAGAAAAGTTAAACTGCTTTTACATGAAGTAACT
Source organism: Homo sapiens (assembly GCF_000001405.40). Lineage (NCBI taxonomy): Eukaryota > Metazoa > Chordata > Mammalia > Primates > Hominidae > Homo > Homo sapiens. Next base: position 179,670,623 of record NC_000004.12, read on the forward strand.
ACTACTACTAATACCAAAGTGATGAACTTTATAATCCAGGCATCTTTATATGTTATACTTGTATGTTTAATAGACAAATTATTTGTATAGTGTGAGAAAGGTTAAAACAATACTGATTTGAAACTGAGTAAACCATTAAGAATGAATTATTTCCATTTATACTTATAAAGAAAGATACATTAAAAATTTTCATGCTGAAATGATATTAAAATAATTATATTTATTTTTAAGATAATATTTGATGATTAGGACAAAGTTTCAGCGTAAGAACTTAAGGATAGAATTAAGAAGATTTATCAAATGTACTTTTAGTACTTTTGTGCTATTTCTTTCAAAATCTTCAGTTCATTGGATACTTACCTCCATAGAAAGATTACTTAATATTTGTAGCATATTATGTGATTTTGTCTTAGACTCAAAGAAATCTCATTATTGTGTAAATTCTCTAGGCTTCTAATATAATATCAGAGTCTGGGATACGTCGTTCAACCTTAAGAGAATATAGCTATATAAGCCATAACCACTTAATGGATTTCTTCAGTTATAATAATAACCAATTTCTATATAATTCTTTAGATTAGACATAATGGTATTCACGCATATCCGTATATCTAAAACAATTATTTCAAATGAGTACTATTGAAATAAAATAACATAGGCTAATGAAATACCCACCCCTCCCTCAAATTGATACAGCTTCATAATCAGAATCAAAATAGTATCAAATGGATACTGTTTCCAATTCGTAGCTTCAGAATGATAAATTACAATGTTTTCTGAGCATATGCTCAACATAGATTTTAAAACACAAAATCTACTGTAGCTGTTGAAAATTTAGCAGATAAAATCTTATGCGTTTCAGAAGTATGGATGAAAATAAGAACAATGAAATCACAATTATTTTCTTTAAAAATATAAGTGTTGCTTTAGGTGGAAAAATGTTTTTGCCTAAATTAAGAAGTGTTACATTCAATTATGACCTGTGAAAGTAAAGCTGCTTTCTCTAATAATACAGAATTTTCTTCATTTCTTTGTGTAATAATAAATATTTTGAGGTATTATGATTATCTTGGGAAATGCTTATGTCAAATTTTATTAATTCACTGTAGGGATCTATACTTAATCTTTTACTGTAATTACGGTAGGAATATCTCTCTTTTTAGCTCCTTAATCTTTTACTGTAATTACGGTAGAAATATCTATTTTTAGCTCTACTTCAGGGGTTGTCCTTCTGGAAAAAAATGAACTTCTTTAAAGGAATACTTTGCTAGTAATTTTTTTCCAGTTTCTTTCTAAAGTAAATCACTTCAACTTTTAAAATTATCACTTTATGTTTGAAATGTTATTTGTTTTCCAAGGCATCAAAAGGCATCCAATAAGCAACTGCATTAAAATTTGTTTTACATATTTGGATTGCATTCCATCTAAAGATATTTTTAATTGCAGTGAAATCCAGCAATTTTTTATGTTTTACATAATATTTAATGTTGTTAAAATATATTTTATGATCTTTTAAATCTCATTATTTTATTACAGTCATTTCTTTCTTAATAGTAATTAATATAATTATGACCATTGCTGATATGCTTTGGCTGTGTCCCCTCCAAAATCTCTTTGAATTGTAGCTCCCATAATTCCCATATGTCAGGGGAGGGACCTGGTGGGAGGTAATTGAATCACAGGGGCGGGTCTTCCCCATGCTGTTCTCTTGATAGTGAATAAGTCCCATGAGAGTGGATGGTTTTACAAAGGAGAGTTCCCCTGCACATGTGGTCTTGCCTGCCGCCATGTAAGAAGTGCCTTTGCTCCTCCTTCACCTTCCACCATGATTATGAGGCCTCCACAGCCATGTGGAAGGAACTGTGAGTCAAAGCTTCTCACCATACCAGTTTTGGGTACATCTTTTTTAGCAGCATGAGGACAGACTACTACAATTGCTAATATTAACAGTAAGAACTGATTATTCAGATCTATCTCAAATGAATCCTTATGTGGGGCAACTTTTCAGGTATTGTAGTTAGTGTCAGTTGATCATTCTATTTCTCTCCTCACAAACACCCAGTTGTAGGTTGAATTGTTTCTCCAAAATGATATACTGAATTCTAACCCTGAGTATCTGTAAGTATGACCTTACTTAGAAATAGAGTCCTTGCAGATGTAATCAATTTAAGATGAAGTAATTCTGGATTTGGGTGGGTTCTAGTTTAATATAACTGGTGTCCTTACGGGAAAAGCAAAGGGACATTTGTCCATTTAGTAAAATATGAAGAACAGGTTTTTTAATTGTAAAATTCCATATAACTTGCACAAGCATATAATAGGTGCTCAATAAATAATTATTGATTTGATACCTTGCCAACAACCTTAGCTTTCTTCCATTATTTTATCCTCTCTAACAGACAGTGACGACAAGAAGAACCAAGGGGCAACAGAAGCAGAGATTGAAGTTGTGTATCAATAAGCCAAGAAACAGCAAGGATTGCCAGCAACAGCAAGAGCTGAAAGAAAGAAATAGGAACCAAGTCTCCCCCAGACCCTTCAGAGAGAGCATGGCTCAACTGATGCTTAGATTTCATACTTATTTCTGACCTCAAGAATTTGAGAGAATAAATTTCTACTGTTTTAAGCCAGAGAGTTTGTGATAGTTTGTTACAGCAGACCTAGAAAACTAATACAATTTCTTTCACTTCTTCATTTAAACAGTCATCCATTGCTTTTATAATTACCAGCTCATTTCTGTTCCTTGGATTCTCAAAGGGAGGGTCATAATCCTTTTCATATCTATAATGAAAATTCCTACCACAAAATAGTTGCTTAATAAATGTAACATAATTGAATTAGTTAACAGGTAACCATATTAGAAAGAAAATAAGCATGTTTTTTTAATATAATGATAGAACGCCTATCATTATGTTATACATTTATTAGTATTTAAACCCTTCACTTAATTCTGCTAATATTTGCTGGTTGTACTTTATTATGAGCCTGCTGGGATAAGTATGATCTGGTGTCATCAGGGCTGGAGAAAATATATAGACAGCTAAAAGGTGTAACAAACATTTTTAAAAAATGATTAAATTGAAAATATAAGAGAGGATTAAGCTACACACTGTTATCAAACCTTGACAAATATTGTTTTTCATACTTTTAAAATTATTTCAAGGACCGTAATTTAGGTAAATGGTTGAAAACATGGAATAAATATGAATGTAAGAGTGAAATGCCAAATTTTATGTTACTAATCATTTTATGAATGCAGCCTATGTTACAATGTAGTATATAAACATTTTGTAATCAGGCTGATCTTTTACATATGTTTACAAGCTGTAGAAAATTTTGGTTATGAGCTTTGACTTTTGTGTCAGGGTAAATTAAATTCAATGCTAAAATATAACAATTATCTAAAATGACACCGGGAATATATCTTAACCTCTTTTACATTCACTTTCTTCATTTGTAATCATCACTTATGTATTCTATATCTAGAGTCATTCTTTCATAAAAGGAATGAGGGTTCTTTGGACAATGGCTAATATTATGATTGGGACAGGAAATTTCATAATGAACCTATAGCACATTAGAGTGCCAAATATTGAGTGCTGAAAAAAAAAAAAAGTAGGAAAATTCTAGAGGCAGTTGACAGACGGAAGAAAGTACTACTCAGGTGAGGTTTCTGTTTTTATAGCTCTTAGCCTGGGGACAAGTCAAAGCTGGTATCATGTACCGTGGCTCAAATTCTAAGAGAAAACAGTCTTTCCAGCTTGGAAAACCAAAACACAAAATTTGAGGCAATAAAAGCTGCCGGAAAGTCAGGCGAGAAATCTGAAAAGGGAACAGCCAAAGCAAGGGAGAAAGAGATTCTGTAAATGTCTACCCCAATCCCCTGGGCATCCCAGAAACATGCCAGGGTGAGACAGATTCCAGCTAAGGATAAAAAGCTTCAATGATAATTGAGTCATCATCTCAGAGACAGCTTGCAGTTTGAGGACAATGAAGTTAATTACTTCTAAAAACAACAAATAAAAACAAAATCCAGTGTCAAAGCAGCATAACATTTAATTGTCTAGGATGAATGTAAATATGGTTCAACCTCAAGATAAAGACAATCAACAGAGATAAACCCTGAGTTTTCCCCGCTTTAGAAGTAACAAAACTGTAAAGAAATATTTGCTTTCCTATGCCATATACTTGCTTATAATAAATAAAAAGATAGGAAATCTCATCATGTAAATAGAAACTGCAAGACAAAACCAAATTATATATTTTAGAGATTTAAAAATTACTTTGGGGCTTAAGAGTAGAATAGAAACGGCATATTAAGACTTCAGGAATTCGAATATAGACCAATAGAATGTATCCAGTTTGAAGAATACAAAGAAATATAAAATTAACAGAACCTAAGGTATTTGTGGGTAATATCAAAGTTCTAAAATATGCATAACTAGAGTCATATAAAAAAAGGAGAGAATGAGGATATAGCAGGAAATTAATATTTACAGAAATAATTGCAGAAAACTAATAAATTTGAAAAATAAAACATAAAGTGACAGATTCAAGAAGTTCAGAAAATACCCGGGAGGATTAAAAAGCAGCACTACATGCCTATTCACAGCTCAGTTAGACAACTACAAATTAAAGGCAAAATTTTCAAAACGTTGAGAGAAATATACTTTAAATATATGCAAACAATAGCTTCAAAATCCATTGACAATGCATCAGAAATCATGGAGGTAGTATTGTAGGATCCTTCAATCACTGAGAGGAAACAACAAAACACAAAAAACCTGTGAACCAAAAATTGTATCTCTATTGAAAATATCTGTAAAAAATGATACAATAAAATATGTTTAGGTTATAAAAGTAAATAATAACTTTGTTCCACCCCCAAATTCATAGGTTAAAACTGTAACCCCAAGGGCATGGTATTGGGAGACTGGGCCTTTGGTATTAATTAGGTTTAGATGAGTCCATGAGAGTGAAACTCTTATGATATGATGAATGATCTGATAAAAAGAGGAAGAGACAAAAGATCCAGGGATTAATGACCTTATAAAAAGAGGAAAATACACAAGATGCATTTCCTTCCTTCCTGTGAGAATACAATGAAAAGTAGCCATCTGCACACCAGAAGTGGGCCTTTTCCAGATACCATATCTGCCAGCATATTGATCTTGAACTTTCCAGCCTTCAGAAATGCAAAAAATAAATTTATGGGTTTTTGTTGTTGTTGTTGTTGTTGTTGTTGTTTTGAGACAGAGTCTAGCTCTGTCACCCAGGCTGGAGTGCAGTGGTGCAATCTCAGCTCACGGCAAGCTCCACCTCCCAGGTTCACGCCATTCTCCTGCCTCAGCCTCCCAAGTAGCTGGGGACTACAGGTGCCTGCCACCACACCTGTCTAATTTTTTGCATTGTTTTTTTAGTAGAGACGGGGTTTCACTGTGTTAGCCAGGATGGTCTCTATTTCCTGACCTCGTGATCCACCTGCCTCCGTCTCCCAGAGTGCTGGGATTACAGGTGTAAGCCACCACACCCAGCCTAAATTTATGTTTTTTAAGTCACTCAGTCTATAGTATTTTGTTATAGCAGGCCAAGCCAACTAAGACAATAACTAACAGAATTCATCACCATCAGGCTGCAATACAAGAAAAAAAAAACTCTAAAGAAAGTCTTTTAGGTGGATGGGAAATGGCACTAGATGAAACTAATGCAAAATATATGGATGCAGCTAAGACAGTCCCAACAGGCAAATTTATAGCTTTAAACATTTACACCAGGACAGAATATAGGTCTTTAAAAAAAAAAGCCTGATGTTTTTCATCTTTAGAAGCAATAAAAAGAAGAGAAAAGAAAGACGAAACACCTTAGATATATAAATATAAATATGCATAGACACAAACAAAATTTAAAAACATAGGGAAAATTACCAAAGACTGAAATTGGTTTTTGAGGTAATCAACAAATTTTCTGATAGCTAGATTAAGAAACTGGGAGACAGTAGACAAGTTAGCAGTGTCAGGTATGAGAGGGGATTATAACTAAAGATCCTAAAGATACAAAATTGAAATAAGGGAAAGTTATGAACAATGTTATACCAAAAAAAGGCCATCTTAGATGAGAAGAATAAACTTCTTGAAAAATATTATTTACCAAAAAGGATCCTAAAAGAAACAGAATATCTGAAGTTAATAGCAACAGAATAGTGTGCCTAGAAATATATTTAGCAAAAATATTTAAGAAATGTTTATAGAGAATGTTATAAATTTATTAAAATTACCTCTAAAAAATTTAAAGCCCATATCCTTATGTTTATAGGTAAAAACATAAGCACTTCAACATGAAATTTCTCTTCAAACTAACCTTTGAATCCAATACAGTTTTCATTCATAACACCAATATGAATATTTGGGGATTTAATAATTTGAGGCTAAATCTATTCAACAAGAGAAAAATACCAGACCTAGGATGTGGTTTTATTATATTTACAAGCTAAGGCATTCTGTCACTCTTTGCTGAATGCTGGCAAAATAGATAATATTTCTGGGTCAGGGACAAAGGACTTCAAAACTCATGACACAGCAAACAGCATCAGTTCCTCCTGCCTTCAGTTCTCATGAGAGATGAAGATAGTTTAGAAACATGTCTGTAGATGCACAAGATTGCATTACAGGAGAGAAACATTAAGTATTGGGGAATTTGTCTCTTTACGGGAAACAGTAATCAAAGCTATTCTTTATACACAAGGGCAACATTAATTTATCCCTCAAGAATGTTGGTTGTAAATACAACTGAGCAATGGCTCAGATATATAGGGATCAAGGCCTGCATTCTTACACCTAGGATTATGGGAGACCCATGGAGGATTGTACTTCACACATAACAGTGTAGAGAGAATACTGGCATGGAGATAGGTTCACTGACAAATAGAATTGAACTGAGTACCAGAAAACAGATCTATACAGATATAAGAGCAAGATATGTGACCAGACATTGCACTGCAGATACAAAATAGGAAAAGGATCCAAAATAAATGGTGCCAGTAAAATTCATCATCTACATGGGAAAAAATGAAATCAGATCCTTACTTAGCATTATACTGTAGAATCAATTCAGTGGATATAAAGAGGATTTTGTACAAAATTAAACATTTAAATTTAGAAAACATATAGAAGAATGCCCTTATGACTGAAATCGAAAAGGATTTCTTAAACAAGACAAATTATAGGGTAAATTTTGAAAAGCATGACTATTGTAAGAGTTAAAGAAAAAGAAACATGAAATGTGGCTTAACAGTCAAAGACGGGTTTATCTTAGAGAAATAAACCTGAGAGGAGCTTCTGGCTGATTTAGGTCAGGAGCACTCTCTCTTACAGACTGAGAACATATATTGGTTTTAGGGTAAAGGTTTTATCACAAGCTTGGAATGTTTCTGTGTTGGGGGAGAAGTTTATGGCGGGGTTGGAAAGTCTCTGGGCAGAGGAGAGGTTATCTTGGGACTGACATCTTTCCGGACGGAGGGGAGGTTATCTCAGGGATGGCATGTCTCTGGTCGAGGAGGGGTTTGGAATGTGTCTGGTCGGAGATGTTATTCGTGGTTTATGGTCATGCTGAACTTAGCTATTAGGCTGATGTTTTGGATTTAGGCAGTTTTGGATCAAGGTGAACTTAAAATGGTTGTCCAAGATGGCGATGCTCCTGCTCTGTCAACTGTATTAAAATGAAAGCACTTTTTCACTAAATGATACAACAAAAATGAAAATATCCATGTATTTTTCACAAATTAAGATAAAATATTTATAGCACTTTAAGCTGATAAATAAAGTCCAGAATGTAAAATAATTTCCCATGAACCAAGAAATAAAAAGCAAAAACCAAAACAGACAAGAGCTGAGAAGATTGGGTGGTGGAGGGAGAAGAGAGAGAGAGAGAGAGAAGAGTAAAAGCCATAAACAGGCAATTCGCATGAAAGAGAGAACACATCGTGAGAATGAACAATTGAATTAGAGCCCAGCTTTTCTAGTTATCAGGGGAATGTAAATTTAAACCATAATGGGCATTTTTTTCATACTTACCATACTGACAAATATTAAGAATTCAAAGACTATTTTGAACCTTCATAGAATTCTGAGGCAGTTTATACTTTTTCAGCTTCATCATATCTGGCAAATGCAAGACACACATAGCCTACTAAATTTAGTCAATCCACTTGTATATAGGAGAAAATACATACATCTGTACATGAGACTACATGAAAAAGTGTTTCTGGCAGTATCACTTCTAAAGTAAAACATGGGAAACAATTCAAATGTCCATTGACGGTATATTCACAAATGTGTGTGTGTGTGTGTATACAAATGTGTGTGTGTGTATATATAGATATCTGTATATATCTATATATGTGAGTGTATATATATGTACACACATATATATGTGTATATATATGTACACACATATATATGTGTATATATATGTACACACATATATGTGTGTATATATATGTACACACATATATATGTGTATATATATGTACACACATATGTGTATATATATGTACACACATATATGTGTATATATGTACACACATATATGTGTGTACATATATGTACACACATATATATGTATATATATGTATACACACATATATGTGTGTACATATATGTACACACATATATATCTGTGTATATATGTATACACACAGATATATGTGCGTATATATATGTACACACATATATGTGCGTATATATATGTATACACATATATCTGTGTGTATATATGTATACATACATATATGTGTGTATATATGTATACATACATATATGTGTGTATATATGTATACATACATATATGTGTGTATATATGTGTATATATAGATATATATACACATAAATATTCAAAAATATCAAAAAATATAAACATCATAGTGAAAATAAGATAACTAAAGTTACATAACTCAGTATGAATTTGTCTTGGAAAGTAAAGAATGAGTATATAAAAGGTTGTCACAGAAGAAAATATAGAGTATGATATAGTTATCTCATTTTTTTCATTATTATACTTTAAGTTCTAGGGTACATGTGCACAACATGCAGGTTTGTTACATATGTATACATGTGCCATGTTGGTTTGCTGCACCCATTAACTCGTCATTTACATTAGGTATCTCTCCTAATGCTATCCCTCCCCCTTCCGTCCACCCCACGACAGGCCTCAGTGTGTGATGCTCCCCACCCTGTGTCCAAGTGTTCTCACTGTTAAATTCCCACCTATAAGTGAGAACATATGGTGTTTGGTTTTCTGTCTTTGCGATAGTATGCTCAGAATGATGATTCCCAGCTTCATCCATGTCCCCACAAAGGACATGAACTCATCCTTTTTTATGGCTGCATAGTATTCCATGGTGTATATGTGGCACATTTTCTTAATCCAGTCTATCGTTGATGGACATTTGGATTGGTTCCAAGTCTTTGCTACTGTGAACAGTGCCACAATAAACATACGTGTGTATGTGTCTTTATAGTAGTATGATTTATAATCCTTTGAGTATATACCCAGTAATGTGATAACTGGGTCAAATGGCATTTCTAGTTCTAGATCCTTGACGAATCACCACACTGTCTTCCACAATGGTTGAACTAGTTTACACTCCCACCAACAGTGCAAAAGCATTCCTATTTCTCCATGTCCTCTCCAGCACCTATTTTTTCCTGACTTTTTAAATGATCACCATTCTAACTGGTGTGAGATGGTATCTCATTGTGGATTTGATTTGCATTTCTCTGATGACCAGTGATGATGAGCATTTTTTCATGTGTCTGTTGGCTGCATAAATGTCTTCTTTTGAGAAGCATCTGTCCATATCCTTTGCCCACTTTTTGATGGGGTTATTTTTTTCTTGTAAATTTGTTTGAGTTCATTGTAGATTCTGGATATTAGCCCTTTGTCAGATGAGTAGATTGCAAAAATTTTCTCCCATTCTGTAGGTTGCCTGTTCACTCTGATGACAATTTCTTTTGCTGTTCAGAAGCTCTTTAGTTTAACTAGATCCCATTTGTCAATTTTGGTGTTTGTTGCCATTGCTTTTGGTGTTTTAGTCATGAAGTCCTTGCCCATGCCTATGTCCTGAATGGTATTGCCTAGGTTTTCTTCTAGGGCTTTTATGGTTTTAGGTCTAACATTTATGTCTTTAATCCATGTTGAATTAATTTTTGTATAAGGCATAAGGAAGGGACAAGTTTCAACTTTCTACTTATGGCTAGCCAGTATTCCCAGCATCATTTATTAAATAGGGAATCCTTTCCCCATTTCTTGTTTTTGTCAGGTTTGTCAAAGAACAAATGGTTGTAGATGTGTGATGTCATTTCTGAGGCCTCTGTTCTGTTCCATTGGTCTATATCTCTGTTTTGGTTACCAGTACCATGCTGTTTTGGTTACTGTAGCCTTGTAGTATAGTTTGAAGTCAGGTAGCCTGATGCCTCCAGCTTTGTTCTTTTGGCTTAGGATTATCTTGGCAATGTGGGCTCTTTTTTGGTTCCATATGAACTTTAAAGTGGATTTTTCCAATTCTGTGAAGAAAGTCATTGGTAGCTTGATGGGGATAGTATAAATTACCTTGGGCAGTATGGCCATTTTCACAATATTGATTCTTCCTATCCATGAGCATGGAATGTTCTTCCATTTGTTTGTGTCCTCTCTTATTTCATTGAGCAGTCATTTGTAGTTCTCCTTGAAGTGGTCCTTCACATCCCTTTTAAGTTGTATTCCTAGGTATTTTATTCTCTTTGTAGCAATTGTGTGTGAATGGGAGTTCACTCATGATTTGGTTCTCTGTTTGTCTGTTATTGGTGTATAGGAATGCTTGTGATTTTTGCACATTGATTTTGTATCCTGAGACTTTGCTGAAGTTGCTTATCAGCTTAAGGAGATTTTGGGCTGAGACCATGGGGTTTTCTAAATATACAATCATGTCATCTGCAAACAGGGACAATTTGACTTTGTTTTTTCCTAATTGAATACCCTTTATTTATTTATCTTGCCTGATTGCCCTGGCCAGAACTTCCAACACTATGTTGAATGGGAGTGGTGAGAGAGGGCATCCCTGTCTTGTGCCAGTTTTCAAAGGGAATGCTTCCAGTTTTTGCCCATTCAGTATGATATTGGCTGTGGGTCTGTCAAAAATAGCTCTTATTATTTTGAGATACATTTCATCAATACCTAGTTTATTGAGTTTTAGCATGAACGGCTGTTGAATTTTGTCAAAGGCCTTTTCTGCATCTATTGAGATAATCATGTGGTTTTTGTCTTTGATTCTGTTTATGTGATGGTTTACATTTGTTTATTTGTGTATGTTGAACCCACCTTGCATCCCAGGGATGAAGCCAACTTGATCGTGGTGGATAAGCTTTTTGATGCGCTGCTGGATTCAGTTTGCCAGTATTTTATTGAGTGTTTTTCATCGATGTTCATCAGGAATATTGGTCTAAAATTCTCTTATTTGTTGTGTCTGTGCCAGGCTTGGTATCAGGATGATGCCGGCCTCATAAAATGAGTTAGGGAGGACTCCCTCTTTTTCTATTGATTGGAACAGTTTCAGAAGGAATGGTACCAGGTCTTTTTTGTACCTCTGGTAGAATTCGTCTGGGAATTCATCTGATCTTGGACTTTTTTTTGTTGGTAGGCTATTAATTATATCTCAATTTCAAAACCTGTTATTGATCTATTCAGGGATTCAACTTCTCCCTTGTTTAGTCTTGGGAGGGTGTATGTGTCCAGGAATTTATCCATTACTTCTAGATTTTCTAGTTTATTTGCGTAGAGGTGTTTATAGTATTCTCTGATGGTAGTTTCTATTTCTGTGGGATCAGTGGTGATATACCCTTTATCATTGATTCTTCTCTCTTTTATTCTTTATTAGTCTTGCTAGCAGTCTATCAATTTTGTTCATCTTTTCAAAAAACCAGCTTCTGGATTCATTGATTTCTTGAAGGGTTTTTCGTGTCTCTATCTCCTTCAGTTTTGCTCTGATCTTAGTTATTTCTTGCCTTCTGCTAGCTTTTGAATGTGTTTGCTCTTGCTTCTCTAGTTCTTTTAATTGTGATGTTAGGGTGTCAATTTTAGATCTTTCCTGCTTTCTCTTTAGTGCTATAAATTTCCCTCTACACAGTGCTTTAAATGAGTCCCAGAGATTCTGGTACATTGTGTCTTTGTTCTCATTGGTTTCAAAGAACATCTTTATTTCTGCCTTCATTTCATTATTTACCCAGGAGTTATTCAGGAGCAGGTTGTTCAGTTTCCATGTAGTTGTGCAGTTTTGAGTGAGTTTTTTGGTCCTGAGTTCTAGTTTGATTGCACAGTGGTCTGAAGGACAGTTTGTTGTGATTTCTGTTCTTTTACATTAGCTGAGGGTGCTTTACTTCCAACTATGTGGTCACTTTAGGAATAAGTGTGATGTGGTGCTGAGAAGAATGTATATTCTCTTGATTTTGGGTGGAGAGTTCTGTAGATGTCTACCAGGTTGGCTGGTGCAGAGCTGCGTTCAAATCCTGTATATCCTTGTTAACATTCTGTCTCGTTGATCTGTCTAATATTGACAGTGGGGTGTTAAAGTCTCCCATTATGATTGTCTTGGAGTCTAAGTCTCTTTGTAGGTCTCTAAGGACTTGCTTTATGAATTTGAGTGCTCCTGTATTGAGGACATATGTATTAGGATAGTTAGCTCTTCTTGTTGAACTCATCCCTTTATCATTAAGTAATGGCCTTCTTTGTCTCTTTTGATCTTTGTTGGTTTAAAGTCTGTTTTATCAGAGACCAGGATTGCAACTCCTGCTTTTATTTATTTATTTATTTATTTATTTATTTATTTATTTATTATTATTTTTTGCTTTCCATTTGCTTGGTAGATCTTCCTCCATCCCTTTATTTTGAGCCTATGTGTGTCTCTGCGCATTAGATGGGTCTCCTGAATATAGCACACTGATGGGTCTTGACTCTTTATCCAATTTGCCAGTCTGTGTCTTTTATTTGGGGCATTTAGCTCATTTACATTTAAGGTTGTTATTGTAATGTGTGAATTTGATCCTGTTATTATTATGTTAGCTGGTTATTTTGCCCATTAGTTGATGCAGTTTCTTCCTAGCATCGATGGTCTTTACAATTTGCCATGTTTTTGCAGTGGCTGGTATCGGTTTTCCCTTCAATGTTTAGTACTTCCTTCAGGAGCTCTTGTAAGGCAGGCTTGGTGGTTGCAAAATCTCTCAGCATTTGCTTGTCTGTAAAGGATTTTATTTCTCCTTCACTTACGAAACACTTTGGCTGCATATGAAATTCTGGTTTGAAAATTCTTTTCTTTAAGAATGTTGAATATTGGCCCCTACTCTCTTCTGGCTTGTAGAGCTTCTGCCGAGAGATCAGCTGTTAGTCTGATGGGCTTCCCTTTGTGGGTAACCTGACCTTTCTCTGTGGCTGCCCTTAACATTTTTTCTTTCATTTCAACCTTGGTGAATCTGACAATTATGTGTCTTGGGGTTGCTCTTCTCGAGGAGTGTCTTTGTGGTGTTCTCTGTATTTCCTGAATTTGAATGTTGGCCTGCCTTGCTAGGCTGGGGAAGTTCTCCTGGATAATATGCTGAAGAGTGTTTTCCAACTTGGTTCCATTCTCCCTGTCACTTTCAGGTACATCAATCAAATGTGGATTCGGTCTTTTCACATAGTCCCATATTTCTTGGAGGCTTTGTTTGTTTCTTTTTACTCTTTTTTTCTCTAAACTTCTCTTCTTGCTTCATTTTATTCATTTGATCTTCAATCACTGATACCCTTTCTTCCACTTGATCAATTAGGCTAGTGAAGCTTGTGCATGCATCACGTAGTTCTCATGCTACGGTTTTCAGCTCCATCAGGTCATTTAAGGTCTTCTCTACACTGTTTATTCTAGTTAGCCATTAATCTAATCTTTTTTCAAGGTTTTTAGCTTCCTTGCAATGGGTTAGAACATGCTCCTTTAGCTCAGAGAAGTTGTTATTACTGACCTTCTGAAGCCTACTTCTGTCAACTCCTCAAAGTCATTCTCTGTCCAGCTTTGTTCTATTGCTGGCAAGGAGCTGTGATCCTTTGGAGGAGAAAAGGCACTCTGGTTTTTAGAATTTTAAGTTTTTCTGCTCTGGTTTCTCCCCATCTTTGTGGTTTTATCTACCCTTGGTCTTTGATGATGGTGACCTACAGATGAGGTTTTGGTGTTGATGTGCTTTTTGTTGATGTTGATGCTATTCCTTTCTGTTTGTTAGTTTTCCTTCTAACAGCCAGGTCCCTCAGCTGCAGGTCTGTTGGAGTTTGCTGGAGGTCTACTCCAGACCCTGATTGCCCGTGTGTCACCAGTGGAGGCTGCGGAACAGCAAATATTGCAGAACAGCAAATATTGCTGCCTGATCCTTCCTCTGGAAGCTTTGTCTCAGATGAGCACCCAGCTGTATGAGGTGTCAGTCAGTCCCTACTGCGAGATGTCTCCCAGTTAGGCTACACGGGGGTCAGGGACCCACTTGAGGAGGCAGTCTGTCCATTCTCAGAGCTCAAACACCATGCTGGGAGAACCACTGCTCTCTTCAGAGCTGTCAGACAGGGACGTTTAAATCTGCACAAGTTTCTGCTGCCTTTTGTTTAGCTATGTCCTGCCCCCAGAGGTGGAGTCTACAGAGGCAGGCAGGCTTCCTTAAGCTGCGGTGGGCTCCACTCAGTTTGAGCTTCCTGGTGGCTTTGTTTACCTACTCAAGCCTCAGCAATGGCGGATGCCCCTCCCCCAGCCAGGCTGCTGCCTCGCAGTTCAATCTTGGACTAGCAGTGAGCAAGGCTCTGTGGGCATGGGACCTGCTGAGCCAGGCATGGGATATAATCTGCTGGTGTTCCATTTGCTAAGACCATTGGAAAAGTGCAGTATTTGGGTGGCAGTGTCCCAATTTTCCAGCTGCAGCCTGTCATGGCTTCCCTTGGCTAGGAAAGGGAAATCTCCTTACCCTTTGAGCTTCCCGTGTGAGGCAATGCCCCACCCTGCTTCAGCTCACCCTCTGTGGGCTGCACCCACTGTCCAACCAGTCCCAATGAGATGAACCAGGTACCTCAGTTGGAAATGCAGAAATCACCCATCTTCTGCGTCAAGCTGGGAGCTGGAGACCAGAGCTATTCCTATCCAGCCATCTTATTGATATCATTTTCAAAAATAATTATATCTATTACACATTATGAAATAAAGACTTCAAAGTGAAACAAGAAAATTATTAACACAAATTAAAGACAATAATACCTTCAGTGGGAAGAGGGAGCTGTTCGATGTATTTGTAATATTTTTATACAAAGCTTGCTGTTGATTACTTGGGTGTTTCCTCTATAAATGGTGGCAAAAATATCATAACTACATGTGTTATACATTCTCTTTTATTTTAAGAAAATAAGAAGGAAGTAAAACAGGGTCCAAGGATCACTGAGGAGGATGGTTAAATTATATATAACCATATCGTTGTGATGTTTTTGAACTCCACAAATAAAAATAAAGTTTTCAGACAGTAAATATAAAAAATTTTTCAGACAGTAAAGAAAAATAAACCTTAAAAGTAGTATACTGCTAAAATATAAAGTCACATGGCCATCAGCTGTGATACAAGTGAGATGACAGTAGAGAAAAGCTTTCTATGCACTAGCAAAAAACAACCTTAAAACCCAGAATTCTACTCCAATTAAGTGTACACTAAGATATTGATACATGCCACATTTAGTTGTATATATATATATGGCACCGAGGGCAATTCAGAGATTGTCAGAGCTGCCTCATTAGTTCAATGGTGAGACCATCACCTGGGTTTCAAAAACCCAGATGGCTTCCTGGAGTCTTGAGGTCAGGGATGTCTGGAGTCTTGGGAATGAGGCTCTCACTTGGTAGAACGTAGTGGACCACAAGACTTACCCCAGTGGGTCTGGAAGGTGAGGGATTAAGCCAAAGATTACTCTCAAGCTTTAAGGCCTAAGCACATTTACTTTGCTAGGTTTGCTAGTCTGGTTTTGCAGGTTCACAGATGGAGAGGAGTTTTGCTTCATGATAAATCATACCTCAAGTCTCACCTGATTTAGATTGTATTTAAATTAGACTTTGGACCTTAGATCTTAATTGATGTGAAATGAGTTAAGACTTTGGATGTTGCTGGAATGGAATGAATGTATTTTGCATGCACAAAGGACATGAATTTGACTAAATGATTGTGTTACTCCAAAATTCACATACTGAAACCCTAACATCCAATATGATGGCATTTGGAGATGGGCCTTTGGGAGGTAATTAGGGTTAGATGAGGTCAGGAGTGTGGGGCTTTTATGCTGGGATTAGAGTTCTTATAAAAAGAGAGACATGGCAGCTATCTCTCCACCATGTGAGGACATAGCAAGCAGGTGGCCATCTGTAAGCCATGAAGAGAGCCATCACCAGGACCTGAATCAGCTGGCACTTTGACCTTGGACTTCTCAGCCTCAGAACTAGAAGAAATAAATTTCTGTTCTTTAAGCCAGAAACAATATATTTTGTTATGGCAGTCTGAGCAGACTAAGACAATAAACTTAAGTATTTCATTTCAAATCATAAAAATAATAATCAGAAAAAGTAGAATTGATAACAATGGTTAAATAATAGAGAATAAAAGTTAAATAAATAATTTATATGCGAATATTCCATTACAGTTTATAAATGAATAATGCTTATAGCTGGTAAATCAAAACAGCAATATAATCATAATATTTAGGTATAAAAATAACCATTAGGAGAATTAAAAACATAAGTGGTTGAAGATAATTTTTTCTGAGGACTAGTCAGTAGAAAGACGATGGGTAATTTCATTCACTCTAAGTGTGTTTCGTTTTATTTTAAACAACCGCATACATCACTTTCATTCAAAAAGAGAAAAACCAAAACATGCAGAATTCAGCATTATTATTGGCATTGTGAAAGCAGTTTTGTATAAGCATGGATTACAATTCCCTGAAAGTATAAAACCTGCATTTTCTAATTCCTCTACATCTCATCACAGCACATAGCAGAGCGTTTTGCATATGAGGGAACTTAACAAATATCATAGATTTACACAGTTTATGTTAATAGGGAGATAGATGCCGCAGCGATACCACACAAGAGTTGTGATCCTTGTGGTTTATTTGGTCCAAATGCCTAGGTAAGGACGAAAAATTGATCAGTTTGGAGCCTAGCTCATTAAATTAATAATGAAGGCCAGGGATATAGGGAACATAGACTCTGTTATTTCTCTTTATAAATGAGAAAAACAATAAGA
Source organism: Homo sapiens (assembly GCF_000001405.40). Lineage (NCBI taxonomy): Eukaryota > Metazoa > Chordata > Mammalia > Primates > Hominidae > Homo > Homo sapiens. Next base: position 179,687,932 of record NC_000004.12, read on the forward strand.
ATGCTGTGACTTTAGAATAAAAATATTAAAATCTAGACTTGTCTTGACAAAGTTAACTCATCATGCATTTAAAGCCTAATCAATTTTTAAATTCTATTTCTTCTTAATTGACTTTAATTACCAATTCTTGTCAACAAGGACAAACAGACCTTGCATTTTAAATGAAAAGAAGCAAGCCATTTTAAATGTTGCCTTGACATTTCCAACCCATTTCATATGCATGAAGTAATATCTTTTAGGAGCCTTTGCTTCTATAGTAAAACAGAAAGAATAAACTATAGCTCAGATATTCTTTGAAAAACCATATACTAATAAAAGGCTGATTTCATGAAATAGTTACATATTTTCTCTATGAAATCTATCATGAGCTTACATGCAAGACAAGAAAATGGATGATCTTAGCACTTCAAAATTATTTTTGCCTAATCTACTTAGTGCACTATTGTAAAAGAGAAGTGTTGTTTTGTCTTACATTTTGGATAAAAATCATCCAGATTCAAACTGGGTGAAACTCTCTAGGCTGCTACCACAATATGAAACGTCTGGGTGTTAGTATAAAAAAGATTTTAAAATATTTCAAATCTCCTAAAAGCATCTAACAGGGATTAATCCCGATTGCTGTCCCTACATCTTTCAAAATCCAGTGAGAGTCTCATCTAATGCTCAGTGAACATGCTGGTCAAAAAGTTGTGCACAAAGAGAAACAGGAAGCTTTAAAAATTAATTATTCAGTGACTTAAATAAAAACAAAGTCATTTAAGAATGTGTGAATCACAGTCAAGCTGTAATACCAAAACTAATATGAGCTTATTTTTAGAAAGTTTCTGTTCTTTAGCCAGAAAATCAGGAGGGAACAAATAATCTGCTAAAACCAACAAGTCATTGTTCCGGGTGTTCCATCTCAAGTGGGCTAGTGCAAATTAAATTTCATGTGCCCCTCCAGAAGTGAAAAGTACTCCTTTACATTTTTACCTTTTAAATATTTATTACGTTTTAATTAAAACATTATCATGCTAATTGAGTCATATGTGCATAGAGCAAAAATCATTTTTGGAGATTTAGTATGTGAAAGATTTCATGCACGTGGCAATATATGGTAGAATGAACCTTCTGTCAGATGCATTTTACTCTTTGCATCATATTTAATATTTAACAAATTTGTAAGGATACATTTTGTGTTTAAACATATGTATATATGTGTGCTAAAAAGATATTAACCTTCCTCATACTTTGCTAGAATTCACCAAAAATGCTATGCTTCCCTAATCTAGATGTCCTTTATGTTTTATTTGTAGAAAATTTGCCTTTGATTCTACTGCTGTTAATTATGGTAAGAACTCAATGGGAATTGAAGTATAGCTATTCCACAACTAAAGACCATAATTTTGCACTGAAAGAAACAGTATTCTTTCTGTAAACTTTGGCCAGTAACCTCGGTGTTTTTTACTTGTTAGTTACTTTCAGGTTTGTATTTATGACAATACAATAATTATTGTAAAGCCATAAAAAATATATTCTTTGTGATAACACACAAAACGTGGTACAATTTTTAAATTATCCTTTATTTCAAAAAAGTTTTTAGTTTGGGCCGGGCGCGGTGACGCACGCCTGTAATCCCAGCGCTTTGGGAGGCCGAGGTGGGCGGATCACGAGGTCAGGAGACCGAGACCATCCTGGTTAACACGGTGAAACCCCGTCTCTACTGAAAAGACAAACAATTAGCCGGGCGTGGTGGCGGGCGCCTGTAGTCCCAGCTACTCGGGAGGCTGAGGCAGGAGAATGGCATGAACCCGGGAGGCGGAGCTTGCAGTGAGCTGAGAGATCACGTCACTGCACTCCAGCCTGGGCGACAGAGCGAGACTCCAGCTCAAAAAAAAAAAAAAAAATACAAAAAATTAGCCGGGCGTGGTGGCGGGCACCTGTAGTCCCAGCTACTCAGGAAGCTGAGGCAGGAGAATGTGGCACCACCGCACTCCAGCCTGGGCGACAGAGCGGGACTCTGTCTCAAAAAATAAAAATAAAAATAAAAAAAGATTTTTGTTTGAACTAGGAAATTACCTTCATAGAAAGTAACACAACCATGCTTGCATTAATATCAATAATACTTATCTTCAGACACTTAGTGGCCAAATAACCATGAAAAGGTGAACCATTTTTGAGCAACTAAATATACAGTCATATCTATATCATGTTTGACAATTATACTAACCGGAACATTTTGAAAAAAAGTCAGTTCTTGTATATTATTGAGTAAAAAGAAGTGAAGACTACTAAATAGTATATACAGCATGATCCTGTTACAAACATCAGGATCATGCTGTATATATTATTTAGTAGTCTACTAGAATAAGAATGGTATCTGTTAAGAACAAATAATTACTAAAACTTTCGCCAAAATATCAACTATAATTGTCTCTGGATAGTGAGATTTTGCTAAATTTTATCTCTTTTTTATTTACATACTTGTTTTTTCTTGAAAATATATTATTGTCTGGGGAAAAAATTATGATCAAAAGAAATTATTCCTCTTTGACTTCTATAAGAATTACATGTTAAAGTTGTCTTGATGTGTTTCAACAGAGACAGAATTATTATTCCTTAAAAGGGGCCATTTGAAATACTCAAATACATGTCATAGAAGAATATCTTTTAAAATCTATCTAGTGTATGGAATTTTACTGTTTGAAAGGACAACTATTAGTAACAAATTACTCATATATCACTTCCCACAACTAGTCAGCCAAATGCAATTTTTTTTTTTTTTTTTTTTTTTTTTTTTGAGATGGAGTTTCGCCCTTGTTGCCCAGGCTGGAGTGCAATGGCGCCATCTCAGCTCACTGCAACCTCCACCTCCCGGGTTCAACCAATTCTGCCTCAGTCTCCCAAGTAGCTGGAATTAGAGGTGCCCGCCACCATGCCTGGCTAATTTTTATATTTTTAGTAGAGACGGGGTTTCACCATGTTGGCCAGGCTGGTCTTGAACTGCTGACCTCAAGTGGTCCACCCGCCTCGGCCTCCCAAAGTGCTGGGATTACAGGCATGAGCCACTGCTCCCGACCTGCAATTCTTGCTATGAGTTAATAAAGGGATCCAGTAACTGCTCCCAGGGAAAGGATATCAGGTAAGTCCTGCTGCCACTGTTAAAGATGAGTTTCTATTCTAAGGTCAGGATGAATAATAAGCAATTACACCATTCAGGGCTGAGTTAAAAAGTAGTTGCTGTTTATATGAACTTCCATGAGTAGTTTAGTATATTTGTAAATATTTGCCATTCTTTTGTCTTTTGTCATTGACGGAGGATTGACCTGTGTCACTTGTCACTGACACTTAACACCAAAATGAATTGAAATTCTGTCTTTAGAAATAGGTTTCCTTGATACTGTGACATTTATAAATGGACCTTTAAAGACTGCACTTTTTCTATACACTTTGTTTCAATTTCCTGTCACTCTCAAGTGGAGATTTTTATAATACTAAATTTATCACATCTTTCCAAGATCATTTATCTGACTCTAAGCTTCTGGTGTACACTTCATCTTTGCGGGAATCTATATTTACTTTCTCCCCCTTCAACTTACAACAAAGTATATATAAAAGCACTTTCAGGACAGGATATAGCATTTCTTTAAAAAAAAAAAAAACATGAAAGTATAATGAATCATTGGCTTCAATATCCAAGTTAATTAGAAGGCTTATCATTATGTAGTTTTTAAAGATATGCCAGTTTCAGAAAATGTCAATCTAAGAATTTTTCCTTTGTTTTGTAATAAGAAGCTTAGAAAGATGGGAAATATTTAATTGGTTTTTGTTAGTAGGTGAGCTACAGCTTAACTACAGTCTTTTTTTTTTGCATCTAACCTGTCTTGAATGGCTTTTATCCATCTTATTTTCCCTTTTACTTTTGTAAAGGAATTTACAGCAACTTTAAGCTTGCTATGTGAATTCTGTTGCATACCGCCATCATTTTTGCACTTTCTGCTTTTTCTTAACATCTTTGTAATTTTTTTATAGTCCATTATTTTTCATGAAGTCAGGCAACTCAGGATTCTCTTAACACAGTTACACAAGTTCAAAGTTTTTTTTCCTCTCACATCATGTACAAGCCTATGATGGCTGCCTCACAACAAGTCAAAATAAGAAATCAAAATGTTAAAAGAAAAAAATCCCTTACTTTGGTAGATGGATAGTTATTTTCAAAAGCTTTTTGCAAAATAAATTTGCATTTTGTGTCATGTCTACTTCAATGTGTTGCCACTGTTATGGAGAAAAAAAATGCCAGTTTTTAAAATACCTAAATGAATGTAACAGCATACTTTATTTGGTGTGTTAATTATACATTTTAGTCCATTCTTTAGTTTATTAGGTTCCTTTTAATATGTATAGAACAGCACTATTGCCACAAGAAGATAACGTCTAGACTTAAATGTCCATTGGGCACAACTATTGGCATTTTTTCCCTGCTTAGGTCATGAACCCAATTAATCCTCATTGCAGAAAGGATAAAGGAAATACCAGTGATCATACACACTAAATGTTATCTGAATCTAATCTGACAGTCATTGCTGATTGAACTTGCTATACCCTGAAGCCTAACAAATGAGTCTTAGCAGGCATATAGATTTCTCTGTATTTTCCTAACAGCTACTCCAAATGCTTTTGAAAGTCAGCAAAAATGGAACTGCAGTTATGTGTGGGATTAATTTTTATTGCATAGGCTATAATGAGTGTGAATATCTGAAAGTACTTCATGTTTTTATACAGAATACACATCATCTTTACTTTAAAATTTTGCTTATGTTTGCTGTGACATCCTTTACATGAAATTGACAACCCGTGAAGTAAAATGTTAGTAATATAATCCTAATAAATATTTAATAGCTTTTCTTTCTATATTTTTAAGAAGGGGAGAATCTTGTTGCTATTTCTAATTTCAGCCATTTGCATCATTCTTGGATCATTTTAAACTGTCAACAAACATTTGCTGAAATATATACAATTACATACAAATATGCACATAAAGCTGTACATAATATTTTAGACTGTTGAAATCACTATTTACAAACAATTAAATACCTATTATATTTATGTATTTCTTACATTATTATGGTCTTCATAATCAAAATCTCTCGTATGATTTTTAAAACTCTGTTTCTAGATAGTTTTCTTAACCTACAGCCCATATTTGGAGTATGTACTGAGACACTTTACACCTAGAATAAAATTAAATACTCGTGTTAATGTGTCAAGACCAAACTAAAATCCTTTCTCATAGAATTCGCTCATTCTCTTTCCCATCTTACTGTTACAAAATATGCCCAATTATCCAAACTGGAAATGGACAAGTCATTAGAAATGGAAATGGAAGCGTTTTAAATGCCTTTTCTCCTTCCTATTTATACTCAATTATTTATCAGTTTTTCTCTACTCTACTTCACAAATATCCTTCACAACTCTCTAACCTTACATCACTAGCTGAGTGCTAATTATTCTCGTCCTGGATGAATGCACTACCTTCCTAAAAACTGTTCCTACTTGGTCCATTTTACGCAAACTTCAAATTGCTTTTTTAAATATCAACCACTACCTCTCCTTCTTAAAAGAGAAATGAGTAGCTCCCTTTCTTCTAGTGGATACAATTAAAACTGTTTAGCATAGCCAGGATGGTGTGCTAACCTGGTTCTCGTCTCTCTCTCTCTCTAGTTAATTGATAAAACATCTTACATCTCAAGGTTATTCACACATCCTCAGCATAAAAATCTCCTTGCCTAGTGCTTTTCTGTTGTGGGCAATCCTGGAAATTGTTAACATATCATACAAAGATCTTCAGACTCATATTACCTTCATTGGGACTTTTTTCCCTAAATTTCTATTCCAAGGTTCAATATCTGTCTTAGGATTCGTCTCCAATCTTTGGTTGATTCTTAAGTTATATTGTGTGCAGGGAGAGATCTCAGAAAATAGCTCCTAGGAGGCTAAAAGTTGAACAAATATTAAAGCATTCACACAGTGTCATAGAGATGGTAGAATTTTGACCCCACCAGCCTGAAAAGACCTTTGAGGATAGCTCAGGTACTTATTTGAAAGGCTGCTTGATAGGAGTGAGTACCGTGCCCTAAGAGCAAGTACTCCTCTTTAGGAGCAAGAACAAAACTGGAAATAGGCACATCCTAACAAAACCTGTATCAAAATCCTGAGAGTACCAAGAATCTCCACCAGTAATTTGACTGTCTCTCATAAAACAACATGACATTATTTAGAGGAAATTAAGCTTTAGAGGATCTGTAGAGTATCACTCATAATATACATAAAAAATTACTAGGCTAGCAAAACAATAGGAAAAATTTATCAGTAATCTGAAGATAAGATAGTAAATAACATCAAAGAGATGATCCAAATATTAGAGTGAGCAGGCACAGATTTTCAAACAAGTATAACTAATATGTTAAAGAAAATAGAGAAAAACACAGACCCTGTGGATAAAAAGAAGTATGAAGAACAGAATATTAGAATCTATACACACCAACCTAACAAACGTTCTAGGGGTGCAAAATTCTACCTAAAGTTAGGGACGCGTGAGATCAGTTTAACAGCAACTGAGCCCTGACAAAGATAAGATTAAAGAACTTGAAGACAGTTTAGTTAAGAAATAAAATCTAAACTAAAGCACAGATGGGAAAACATTAAAATAATACAAAAAAACCGAATATATACATTTTAGAGAATAACAATTTCTAATATATTGGTCAGTGAAGTCATAGCAAGAAAGAAAAGTGATGAGAAAAAATAGGAAAAATATTCTTAAAATCTGGTGAAAGATATTAATATATTCCCACTGATTGGAGAAACTCATCAAACCCCAAGAAGAATAAATGTAAATAAAACCTCACCTCAATATGTATATAGTAGAAAATCACTGAAAAAGACGGAGGGACTAACAGCAAGAAGGTCAGCTGACTTCTCAAGGGAAATTACAGAAATCAAAAGATAATGAAATGGAATATTTTAAAGTGCTGAACGAAAAAAACAAACTGTCCATATAGAATGCTATAACCAGTGAACATAGCTTTCAAAATTAAATCAAAATAAATAAATGTTATCAAAAACAAATCTTAGACTTCATTACTGACAGGCCCAAAGTAAAATAAATACTAAAGGTAAACTCTTTTGGAGGCATTAAAGTATAACAGGGAATAAACATCATTACACGTTGTAAATATATGGGTAAATACAGTAGTTCCCCCTTTTCCAAGGGAGATGTGATCAGAGATGCCCAGTGGATGCCTGAAACCTCAGATAGTACAAAACCCTATATATACTATGTCTTTTTGATTTTATTAACTGAGAAGTCTACTAAGAGACTAACGAGCAGCTAGCGCACACAGCATGGACATCTGGCCAAAGGGATGATTCACATCCTGGGTTGAACAGGCATGACAGCATGAGATTTCATCGTGGCTACTCAGAGCCATGTGCAATTTAAAACTTAGACATTGTTTTTTTCTGGATTTTCCAGTTTATATTTTTGAACTGTGGTTGACTGCTGATAACTGAAACTGCAGAAATTGAAACCACAGATAAAGGTGCGGGGACTATTGTATATAAGAATTCTCACTTTTTTTTTTTTTTTTTGAGATGGAGTCTCGCTCTGTCGCCCAGCCTGGGGTGCAGTGGCGCAATCTTGGCTCACTGCAAGCTCCGCCTCCTGGGTTCAAGTGGTTCTCCTGCCTCAGCCTCCCAAGTAGCTGGGACTACAGGCACGTGCCACCACACCCAGCTAATTTTTGTATTATTTAGTAGAGACGGGGTTTCACCATGTTGGTGAGGATGGTCTCGATCTCCTGACCTTGTGATCCGCCTGCCTTGGCCTCCCAAAGTGCTGGGATTACAGGCATGAGCCACCATGCCCGGCCAAGAATATTCACTATTTCAGCAATCATAATAAAGGTAATAATATTGTCTTGGTTTTTAAATTATGTAGAATTAAAATGCAGACAAGGACACAAAAAGAAAGAGGCCACTAAATGCATTTAAAATATTATACCATTTTACACATTATTTGAGATGTGGAAAACTATTTTCAGATAGACTCACATAAGTCAAGTGTGTATTTTATTATTTCTATGGTGTGACACAACACTAAAAGCTCTAACAAAACCCAAATAGAAGCAATTAAACAAAATAACAAAATACATGATTAATATACAATGAAACAGAAAAGGGGGCATAAAAGGACAAAGGCCACGTGGACCAAATAGAAAACAATCAGCAAAATGTCAGACAGTAATTATTAAAATGTACTTGTTGGTCCTTCTGGGGACTTGGAAACACTATATTTCTTAGCATGGGTTTTGCTCCATAGAGATTTTTGTTTGATGTGCTTTTTGGTTCACAGTTTTGTAGGTAAATAATATAAAATTGGAATATTTGACATCATTCACACACAGCCAAATCAGCTAGTGTTGATTACCAAAAGCCCAAATTCAAGGGGATGAGGATCACCAGGATATTTCGTTTTCCAATAGGCTTGCTTCATATTAATTTATCACCTGTCTTTTGTAATATATTTATGATCTCTTCTCCCTAAACCCTCTACTCCATGAAAGCCCTAACCTTTGTTTTCTTTAAACATCTCATGAATCCAATCATTTGTGAAATGGCAGCAGCATGTTGAAGCTTGGCCTGCATCCTCACTTCAAGAGTTGACTTCATAGCTGGTAACAACATGGAACAGCAGCTGTATCGTCAAGGAATAAATGACCAGAGGCCAGCTAAATGGCCTTTTTATTTTTCAGATACGTTAAATCCTCTCCCAAAGCTGTTGATGCCTGGCAGAATTATATACATAAGTTATTTTGATGTCTCATTAGCACATTTTTTGTTCTCCGACTGTTCCCAGTGTATGGAGCTCTACCAGTGAAATCAAGATCCTTTGCTGAGGCTGCTAACTTAAAATATTCCATGTTTGTTAGGAGACGTGTGCATGTGTTAAAAGTGAATCATGTTTTGGTCAAAGGAATGCTGGTAGGAATCAGTGCTTTTGTTATTATTAAATCAAAGAATCACTTCATTTTAATATTATTAAATAAAAGAATCACTTTAAATCATTTTTCAAGAATGATTTAAAGACACCCAAACTAGGACCTAACCTAGCAACCCACCAGGTTGTCAATACATATTTGGTGAAGGAATGACACATCAAAACTAGGCTAGGGAAGGATAAAGATGAAAAAATATAGGGATTCATAAACAATTTGGAAGATAAATAAAATCATTGGATAAAAGATGCATGAAAGATACACAAAATTATATCTCTTTGCTCTAAAGGATAATTTTACTACAAATAAAATGAATGATTAATTTCATAAGTTATATGCATGTAACTGATGAGACAATAGTTTAGCCAGTGCGCGTCCACACTAGTTTCATAGTTTAATCACGAGAGATGGTAAAGGTCTGTAATTAAGTAGTTGTCAAAAGGGTGCCTGAGACATTGTGTGGAGAGACAAGGGAAAGACTTAGTGACTACTCATAATAAGAGGTGAAACACAAAAAAATTCAGAAATAAATGAGCTTAATAGCATCTCAATTTCACCTTGAATTCTGACAATAGGAGATGAATGTAAGATTAATCAAGACCAATTATACCATCTGGAGGCATCGGCCAATAAAAAGTCAATGTCATATTCATTTTATTCTTGGCAGCTGATAGTAAATGTAACAGTGGTCAGTATTGAAGGACTGCAGCAAAGCTGGCTTATCTTTCTGCCCGTTATGCTTAGCTCTATTTATTTACCTGCTCCATTCAAAAAGAAATATCTCCCATAAAAAAGGTAGAAAGATACATTCTTGATATTTGTCTTAATTATTTTGATATATATTTTGCTTCGCCACCATAATTTGAGAATAGATGGACAGAGGACTTCTTGTCCATACCACACCATGAGTTTAATTAAGTTTTGTAATCTTTATACCAGATAGGGAAGATCTTCATCTCCTTCTTTCTGTATGTCTGCTCGCAGCACCTGAACCTAGTCCCAACTGGAGAATCCTGCCTAAATTGACATAGGATTTATAAAGTTTAAATGGGAATTAGAAGACAAGAAAGGAAAATATGATGTAATGTTCTGTCCTCTCAAGGGTAAGTTAGTTTGGAATAATGATAGATCCTCTTTAAGAGGCTAAAGAAAATATAGAGTTTTCTACCTTTCTTCATAAGTGGTTCCAATTTACTTTCAACATATGAAATTTACAACTCTGAAATATTGAGGGACCTATAACCTTTACTTTTTTTTTCCTCCCAAGTTTGCTATATGAGATAGAATTCAGCAAAATGAATACATTTCCTTATAAGGAAGTTTGGCTTCAAGTGCGGATGTAATGTCCAGTCCATGTGTTTCTTTGAACAGGCTTCAGTTGCCCTTTGTGAAAATAAGACTGTGGGGGATCATGCAGAAGAGGGAGCAAAGGACAATCCCCTAGATGGACAAGAGAGTGCATGACTGTGAGGAAGAGGTTCACCGAGGCTCAGCTGCGATTGATTCCCCCACGCTCATCTCAAACTCTCTTAAGCAAACTTTCAGCCCCAGATGCTTACACAGAGGTATGACTTCAATCGCAGTCAATGAGTCAGCTCATTAGCAGTAATAGATGTTCCCACGCTTGCTAAGCACCTAATTTGCTACTAGGAAATGATTTTATGCATAAAGAAAAAGAAGCCAGCATAAAATCATAGCTTCTAAGATAATTAATAAATGCTAGGCAAATATAATTATATATACAGATACACTTGAATTCTGTTACATACCATATATGTATATATATATATATTTATTTATATCTCCTAACTTATATTTATTTCAATGTGTCAATCATTTCAGTATTTGCTATGACTGGTAAAGTACATATGTTTTGGGAAACAAAATAGTAAAAATAAATCAGGTCCCCTAAAACTTTTATTAAAGCTGAAAAATAAGGCTGACAAAAGTGAAATAGTAGCACATCATACGTGACAAAATATAATTTCACGTTGTGGTGGGTAGTATAGATTAACTTATTGACAACTCTGTGAGTAGAAAGAGGACAATGAAAAAGCTTTCAAGAAAGGTTTTGTTGAGTAAGAGGAACTTGAATTAGCTTTCAATTATGGACATGCTTTTCTGATGGAAGACTTTTTTCTTAGCGGAACATAGAAGAAAAATACTTGTTAAAATCCCTCCCTAGTCAATTTGCATGTTCATATGGATAAGGGACCAGTGTTTACAAGGAAAACAGATCAAGTTAAATATGCATAGAAGACAAGGAAGTGTATATTCTCCTGTTGCTGGCCCCAAGGTTAGGTGCTCTTACAGATGAGTTGTTTTCTCTCTGGGTGGGTGTGTCTGATTGCTAACTCAATGCTAGTGACATCTTCCTGCATAAACAGACAGCTCCTTGGGCTTCTATTTTGGTTTCTAGGACCCTATTTTGGTTGCAAGATCAAAGAAAAGAGCAATACAAGATTGAAATATCTACATGAAGCGTAGCTTGTGCTGTCATACTAATAGACCCTTTATGAATTTTCTTTTTCTAACCAAAATGTCTCCTTCTGCTATCCTTGCATGTCATGTGCCAAATCTTTGGGGTAAGGCCTCAACCTGTGAAGTGGAAAGAGAAGAGAGAAACCCACATTTTAACTGTTATTAAAGAGATCAGAATATGTTTTGTTCTATTTTATTGCAAAATCTCACCAACTCGTTTCAATTTCCCTCTGATTCATTGTACGTTTAAAAAGATATGAGTCTTAAATCTCCTTTCTCAAGGCAAGATAATAACAGCAATAATCTTTAAATACACATGCTGTCACTTACTCTCTTATCCTCATTGCCTCAGAAGAAGGTGATCATAAAGGAATCTTTAAGAAATCTATACCAATTTATTTGGTGGGAAGCAACAGTGGAAGGCATTTTGATGCTTAATACTATTTTTTTTTAATGTACAGAGCAAAAATCAGCATATTATTCAAGTGCCTTGTATATAATAGTAATAAAACAGTCAGGAGAAAATATTAATTGTGAAAATGTAATTGAAAAATAAACGTTATAAAGTAAACTCAAACTTTCTATATGACAAGAAAATGCAAACTACGAATGTAATTACTTTTACAAATATGAATTGTTTAGCCAATAACAAGTTATTCTTTGGGAGGGAAAAAAATGACATGAGGCCTCTAGGAAGGCTTTGCAGAAAAATAGTGAGTAGATTTTGTAAGTGGGTTGGAGTCAATATCACATATCAAGTTCCTGGATATTTAAAAGTAATAAAAGAATGACGCTTGAATATATGGAAACATGAGATGAGATATTTGTAAAATGATGATATTTAACAGGCCTGAGAACTCCTAGAACTTATAACATATTCTCTGAGAACTGACTGAATGTTTTACTACATACCAGATAATGAATAAGTAAGATTTAACTGCATGAAGTGCAGCAAAGACCTTCACAGAGCCTATCAGTGTTATTGGAACTGACACATAAAGGCAAATGTGTCTCCCACAAAGGATGTGGGAAACCAATTCTTCTAGAAACGATGTAGAAAACACCCTCTAAAATATTGCACTACTAAGGTAAAAAAAAAAGTCTATTCAATTCCCACCATCAGTTTCTATTTATGTACCATTACGCACCACATGACGAGGTTTTGGTCTGCAATGGACGACATATGTAACATGGTCCTATATAATTATAATACTGTATTTTTACTGAAGGTTTTCTATGTTTAGAAATTCTTAGATCCACAAATACTTACCATTGTTTTACAACTGCCTACAGCATTCACTTTGGTAACATGCTGTAAGAGGTTTGTAGCCTAGAACCAATAGGCTATACCACATAGCCCATGTGTGTAGTAGACTATACCTCTAGTATTGTGTAAATACACTGTGTGGTATTTGCGTGACAAAATCACTTAACTATGCCTTTCTCAGAATGTATCTTCAATGTTGAATGATGCATGATTGTTAGTACAACACTGCACTAAGTATTGTAAATATTTTATTATAGAATAATTACCATTAGTACTGATAAATTTTAAAAATGATACATATATGTTTTTGAAAGACCAAAAATAGGTGTATATTTCAAATATATTTTTAAAATACAGAGAGAGAGAAATTACCCCAAATTATCTCAATATAGCCACCAGGTGAAATCTTGGGCAGATTCTATAGATGTTCCAATTACTTAATTCAGTCATTCAATGGATATTTATTGAGAGTCAAGGATAGGCCAGATATATTTCAACAGACTAAAATACAGTCCTATATAATATCTTCAAGTTGTATCAAATTTTCAATATTTCATCAGACTAAAATACAGTCGTATATAATATCTTCAAGTTGTACCAAATTTTTAATATTTCATCAGACTAAAATACAGTTCTATACAATATCTTCAAGTTGTATCAGATTTTCATATGCTCCCCTTCCTAAGACTTGTACCTAAATTAGTATTCTAATGTGTGTCTATTGGTAACTTAGGCAGGATTGGGACCCCATGCCCTTTGCTGCAGGTGCTATCCTGTTACCCCATGGTTATGCTATGTTAACTAGCAAAAAGGACTTTGCAGATGGAATTCAGATTACTAATCAGCTGACTTTAAAATGAGGAAATTGTCCTGACTGAATAAAGTGAGCTCAGTATAATCACATAGGCTCTTAAAATTGGAAAAAGAAGATAGACATGTCAGAGAGATGTGATGTGAGAAGGGATTAGAGGAAGGGGCCATAAACAAACGAATGCAGGTGACCTCTACACACTAAGAAAGACCTTCAGCCAATAGAAAAGAAATGGGCACCTCAGTCCTATAACTACAAGGAACTGACTTCTGCTTGCAACCTTAATGAGCAAGGAAATGAAAATAGATTCTTCCCTGGGCCTCAAGAAGAAAACACAGTCCTACTAACACCATTTCTCTAGCTTTGTGAGATTCTAAGCAGGGACCCAGCCAAGCACACGGGATTTCTGATCTATAAAAACTGTGCAGTGGCATGTGCCTGTAATCCCTGCATATTGGGAGGCCAAAATGGGTGGATCCCTTCAGCCTAGGAGTTTGAGACCAGCCTGGGCAATATGGTGAAACCCCATCTTTACCAAAAAAAATACAAAAATTAGCCACGCATGGTGGTACATGCCTGTAGTCCCAGTTCCTTGGGAGGCTGAGGTGGGAGGATTCCTTAAGCCTGGGAGGTCAAGGCTACAGTGAGCCGATATCGTGCCACTGCACTCCAGGCTGAGCAACAGAGTGAGACCCTGTCTCAGAAACAGCAACAACAACAACAACAACAAGCCTGTGAGGTAATAAAGTTGTGTTGTTTTAAGCCATGAAATTTGTAGTAATTTTTTACAGAAGCAATAGGAAACTGATATAACTATACTTACTACGGTTACCGTTTTTAATTTTCAATCCTCCGCTCTACTTACTACTCATTGTTTCTGACCTTCTGGGTGCAGGTACACTCTGACCAAGATTCTCTTCATAGGAGCTCTCTGACATTCTCTCCCACATTAGGGTTCTGGGTGCCCTCTCAGGCTTCACATGTCCATAGTGTTCCCCCTTCTGAAATGTTTGTATTTATAGGTCACATTAGTTGCTGTCTAGAAAAATGTTCTAAGTTTCAGTGACTTTTCAAAACAAAGTTCATTTCTTAGTTAAGTAATAGTTCAATATTTCTAGTTGATGGTGATTCTCTTCCATGTGATGATTCAGAGGACAAAGTTTCTTAAATCATGTGACTCCACCACGTTCTGGTGGACTTAGACATGTCTACATTCATCCAGAAGAGACAGAAAGATTACCTGGAGAAGGCACCTGTTTCTTAAATGCTGTGGACTTAAAGTGACTTTCATCATTTTTTTTTACATGCCATTTGGAAAAGATGTGACGCAGGTTGAGAAATGAAGACCTTATTTGGGTGGCTGTTTCCTACCAATCATTTTATACCATAAAATGAGAAACACGTTTAGGTGGAAGAAAAAAAAAAAAAAAACAGCCTCTATCTCAAGGTCCCTTAACTGATCCAGTTGGTTCTATTCAGCAGAGCTCATTTGAAGATAGTCATAGTCCAGATTACTTTCACAGAGTTTGAAGTCAGCCCCCAACACATTCTCCTTCCTGCTGCTTTCACTGGGATTGTAACACACTCCATTACTGCCACTTCCCTCTGCTCGGCTTTCAGCAAGGCAGCTATAGTCAAACTTCTGCCTTCAACTTTCTCCTGCTGGGAGCCAGGCACCAGGACATTGGTCCCCCAAATTCCCAAAGTTTGAACTCTTCCCTGTTGTTCTATCAAAGCCTTCCTTGTCATTTGAATTGGGATGATCAAAAAGCACTGATAGACAAAGGACATAAATATATCTTTTGTGGACTCAAAGTGTATCAGAAGCTTTCTAAGTCCCCCAACTCCATACTCTAAAATGCATTTAGGCATAGAAAAGAAAAAGCACATAATCCAAAATTGGTCATTCTCCATGGAATCTTAGAGACGGGAGGAAGGAAATGTCACAGCATTTCAACTACTCTCTCTCAAGTAGCTCTCTCTCTCTCTGTCTCTTTCTCTCTCTCTCATTAGATATTTTTCAGCCTCGATTCACTTCATCCCTCAAGGTAGGTGATGGGTTACTATGTCAGAACCAGTTTAAAAATATCTAAGCTTGCATGGGTGTCCTGAACCACTCTTTATAATGAGAATAAAACATGTCACACTGTCTTTAGCTTTGGGTCCACTGTAGAAATGCAATACACACACACACATGCACAGAAAGTCCTTTTGAATATTCTTTTAAATAGACAAGAAAAAATGTGTATACAATTCATATATATATAGAGAGAGAGAGAGAGAGACAGAGAGCTCTGTGACTAATTTTAAAATGCATTTTAAAATTAGGATCAGATTTTATTATTTTATAATTGGCATTTTATAATTGGCACATAAAATCATGAATATTAATTCATGCCATTAAATATTTTCTAGACACTAAGTTTAAAAAAGCAGTCCTGAAATAAGGATGTCTGCTATTATTGCTTTAATTTAATATTTCTGTTGGCAGTCCTTACCAATACAGTAAGAAAAAAATCATAAAAATTGGAAAGGAAGGAATAATATTATTATAATTTCTATTAATAAGTCTCAGTAGGAAACCTAGGAAAATCCACAGAAGAATCTAGAAAATTAATAAGCATTTCTATAATGGTGCTGGATATTAGATCCATTTAGAAAAATTAATTAAATTCTTATAAACAGAAGATAAAAGTATAAATTTAATTAAAAAACAATTTGCAATAGCAACCAAAATTATAAAGTTCCCACAAATCAACCTAAGAAAAGGTATGCATGGCCTTTTTTGAGAAAATTATAAAACTTCATTAAATATCATTAAACTATGGGCCATGCATTTATGCATGGCCAAATAAACCCTGTTCATTTACAGAATTCTCAATATTTTATAATTTAAATTCTCCCTATATATTCAATGTAATTGTAATTAAAATTGCAACAGATGTCTATATATGTGTTTGAATCTTGAAAATCCGAGTCTAAAATGTATGTGAAAGAGAAATGGCTGATAATAGTCATAATGATTCTTAAAGAGATATTAAGTTGAGAGCTTCTTTTTATCTATCAAAACAAATTGAAATAGTTACAGTAATTGAGATAATGTGTACTAATGCAAGGTTAAAGAAATGAACCAACAGAACAGAAGGACATGCTAGAAACAGACTCACATACATAGGGAAACTTGCACATATGTTTGAAGAGCGTATGCAATAAATGATGCTGGAAAAATTCATCATTCTTATGGAATCAAAGTGTATATCCCTACCATATGTAAGATGTGTAAACCAAGTCCAGGAGAAGTAAACACCTAATTATGTAAAGCAATACTGAAGATTTCAGAGGTCAATACAGAGAGTATCTTTATGGCCTTATAGGAGTGGAAGATTTCCACAAAATACATACACAAACAATCTTTTAAAAATGTTGATAAAATATTCTATATTTAATTTTAAAAATATTTCCGTGAAAAGACAAGTCACAGTTGTCCTTGAATTGATGAAATTGATAAAGAAATTTGTAATACATATGACCAATATAGGAATAGTTTTCAGAGTATATAATTCACTTTCAACGACATTTTAAAAAGTAATAATAAAAATCCCAATAGGAAAATGTGCAAAAGTTATTAAAGAAAATTCATAGTAGAGAAAGCCTGATGAAACATAAGCATATTAAAAGGTGTGAATTTTACTAGTTATCATAGAAATGGCCATCAAAATCACAGTAAGAAACATTTCACGATCTTCAAACTAGCAAAAAATAAAAAGTCTGGAAGTTCTGATACACACGTGGCTGCAGTTGACACGGACCCTTGGCTGGCAACTCAGCTGCAGCTGTCTACTGAGGCACCTACATTTGTATAAATCTTAGAGGAGGCAACAATTATCTTCCACCAGACACTTCCTATTACTTCAAGCCAGTTAGAGCATTAGCTGGGTCATGTCTGGGCTACAATTATAATAAGGTTCAGTCTATCTTCAGATGCATCCCTTGCAACAGATCGTATTTTCCAAAGACGGTTGCAGGTTGCATAAGTTTGCCATCCCTCATTCTATTCTACAATGTGGTCTTGTCACATCCCATCAAGAGGGTGAATCTAAACCCCCTCCCCCTTGAATCTAGGAATGTTTGTGTTGTCTTTCAAAAATAGAATGCACACAGTCAATGCTATGTAACTTCTGACACTGAATCTTAAGAAGCCACACAATTTCTACCTGCTACTCTTGAGTTACTTTCTCAGGGAAATCAGTAACTGCTATGTGAGAATACCGAATATCCTCAGACACTGCACCCGAAGGGTTTCAGGCCGTGTCTAAATTCTCAATTTTCCTGTCGATGGCCCAGCTTGACCTGCAGCTGACAGCTAGTAGTAACTGTAAGCCACATGAGCGAACAATCTAGGCCATCCAGCCCAGAAGAACATTAAGATGACTGCAGCTCCAGCCAACATCCGGCTACAGCAACCTACGAGAAGCCAAATAAGAGCAGCGTAGCTCAGTCCTCCCAGAATTTGGGACCCAGAAAATAAAAGGGAAACTAAACAGGTAAACAAGTTGTTGTTTTACAACACTGTGTTTGAGAGTAATGTGTTATGCAGTAATAGGCAAGAAAGTCTTGTTCCTCTCGTGTGTCCTTTTGGGTTTTTACTTGGGAGCCTGGTATAATCGGTCTCTCCGATTTTAAGGATGACAGACTTCGCACCTCTATCCTGGAGAATTTAACATCTCCCACTCTGATACAGTTTGGATGCGTGTCCCCTCCAAATCTCATGTTGAAATGTGATCCCCAGTGTTGGAGGCGGGGCCTAGTGGGAGGTGTTTGGGTCATGGGTGTGGATCCTTCATGAATGGCTTGGTGCTGTCCTCATGACAATGAGTTCTCACCATACATCTTTTTCTTTTTTTGAGTGTGTAACATCTCCCCAGGTCCCCTTGCTCCTGCTCTCCCATGTGCGTGCCTGCTCCCTTTGCCTTGCACCATGATGAGACCTCACCAGAATCAGATGCTGGAGCTATGCTGGCACAGCCTGCAGAATCATGAGCCAATTAAACCTCTTTTCTTTATAAAATTCCCTAGCCTCAGGTATTTCTTTACAGCAGTGCAAGAAAGGCCTAACACACACCCCATCCAGCTTCAAGAATCAGAAAAATGCTACACCTGGTCTGGTCAACATCAGTTACTCTCATAAAGGAAATTAAACCATGTTGATGGATGGATGAACCAAAAGGAAAAGAGATCAATGACACAGATTAATTTGCTTCTGAAGAATATTTTTCATTGTGTATAATATGCTGTGGAATATGAGTATAGCAGGTTCTGGAATGAGCTTGTGTTAGCTCAATGCTGAAACACAGATGACTCTGTCTAATAATCAAAGCTGTAAATTTTGGGCATAATAAGTAGAAATAGTTGAATGTGAGTTTTGACTTTTAAAAGTAAACTTATATAATACCACTAATATCAATATTTAGCTTAAAAAGTTATGCATGTGGCCAGGCACGGTGGGTTATGCCTGTAATCCCAGCACTTTGGGAGGCCGAGGCGGGTGGATCACATGGTCAGGATATCGAGACCATCCTGGGTAACATAGTGAAACCCCGTCTCTACTAAAAAAAAAAAAAAAAAAATACAAAAATTAGCTGGGCATGGTGGCACATGCCTGTAATCCTAGCTACTCGGGAGGCTGAGGCAGGAGAATCACTTGAACCCGGGAGGCGGAGGTTGCAGTGAGCTGAGATTGTGTCACTGCACACCAGCCTGGTGACAAAGCTAGACGCCATCTCAAAAAATTAAAAAAAAAAAAAGTTATGCATGTGATGACTCTTCGTAATCCCTTCAATAAGATTTTTTTTTTTTTTGGACATTTAAAATATACCATGATCACATATCTGCAAATCCTGCAACAATGTTCCTGGACTTTGTGATTGAGTGACAGTTTCCTACACCAGGTGACACCACTACCAAACGCCACCGCAACCCCTAACTCCAACTAGCAATCTCAAGATGTAAGACATCTGTCACAATTGCCGATTCTGCTTGTGACTTTCTGGGAAAGAGATTCAATCAATAGTGAAATCCCTTTGGAATGGAGGCTCTTTTTTTTTCTTTTCTTTAAATCAGGAACTGAGTTGAGTTTCTGGTATTATCTGGGAATATTTAGTAAACACATTTATCTTATTTTGTTTTAATTTTACCAACTTCTTGGGAATCCTAGTAAAAAATCTTACATGATAAGTTTTTATTGTTCATTCTGAATGTGAAGCTGATATTTTTACCTGCAAAAATCCAAAAAGTGACAGAAGATTTGTTTGGTAAAATAAACTGTAGTAACAGTGGAGATTGAAATCCAGTGGTCAGGTTGAGGTGCTACAAACTGCTTTTTAAAAAATCATTCTCGTGTCATTTGGTAAGCGCAGGAATACACATCTTTAAGCTATATAGATATTAAGAAATAAAGAATGTGTCTTATTTTTAAAAAAATGTAAAAATACATAAATAGTAGTAGTATAATGAGAAACTATATAGACACGCAAACTTGAAAAATCTTCTATTAATTTACATGATTACTGTAGCATAATCCCAAATTAAACTCACTTTTTCTGGATGACTGACTTGGGTAAAATAATTCATATATGAACAATGTGGGTAAAAAGAAAAAAGTCTCCAGTTTACACTATAAATAGAGTGATTTTATCAAAGCAAATATTAGGAATTTATCCTTGGCTTTTTAAAACAAAAAGATACTAAAATACTTGAGAATCCTAATTTGATAATACTGAATAATGCCACAGTTTATCCTGGCAGAGTAGGACATTTTAAAAAGCTATAAAATTCACTATATACTCGGCCGAGCATGGTGGCTCACACCTGTAATCCCAGCACTTTGGGAGCCGAGGCAGGTGGATCACTTGAGGTCAGGAGTTCAAGACCAGCCTGGCCAACATGGTGAAACCCCATGTCTACTAAAAAATACAAAAGAATTAGCTGGGCATGGTGATGGGTGCCTGTAATCCCAGCTACTTTGGGAGGCTGAGGCAGGAGAATTGCTTGAACCCGGGAGGCAGAGGTTGCAGTGAGCTGAGATTGCACCATTGCACTCCAGCCTGGGTGACGACAGCAAAACTCTGCCTCAAAAAAAAAAAAAAAAAAAAAAGTTCACTATACACTCATAGACTCAACCCTCGCTACATCATTGAGTAGGTTAAGATATAAACAATAAAAATAAGAGATGGTTTTGTCTAAGCTATATTACAATAATTTGTACCACTATAATATTTTTGTTATATATGGTAATCAGTTGTGTGATTATCATATTATTGTGCCTCCTTTTGAAAGTATTCATCTAGAGACTTCAATACATTTAACATTTAAAAGATTAATCAGACCAGGCACAGTGGCTCATGCCTTAATCCCAGCACTTTGGGAGGCCAAGACTGGTGGATCACCTAAGGTCAGGAGTTCAAGACCAGCCTGGCTAACATGGTGAAACCTCATCTCTACTAAAAATACAAAATTAGCCAGACCTGGTGGTGCACACCTGTAGTCCCAGGTACTTGGGAGGCTGAGGCAGGAGAATCACTTGAACCTGGGAGACAGAGGTTGCAGTGAGCTGAGATCATGCCGCTGCACTCCAGCCTGGGTGACAAAGCAAGACTCTGTCTCAAAAATAAATAAATAAATAAATAAATAACATAAAAGATTAGTCAATCTTAGAATTAATTTTAAATACATAAATAACTATAATTTGTTTTATTTGTCTATTATATAGATGATATATAAATAGTTAGAGGAACATTGATTTTATAAAGATCCCTAAAAAGAAATCTTCTTTAGTCTGTTTTGCATTCCATGCTAGAAATGTCAAAAGGGAATTAGAAACTGACTTTATGATTTTATTTTTGGTGTTCACATATATTAAATGAAAACTAAAATTATTTTATTAGGTCATGTTTCCTCATTCATATTAATTCTTTTCACTAACATATACGTACCTTAAAGTTACACAAGATTTTTGACTAAGGCTTGGATGAAAAAAAAAAAAAATTAGGGTGTTTCACAATAAAAATATCAAGAATGATTAAGGTGATTAGGGTGATGATGTTGACCATATTTGTTGAGTGATTGTCTTAGTTCATTTTCTATTGCTTATACAGAATATCTGAAGCCAGGCAATTTATTAAGAAAAGGTATTTATTTCTTTCAGTTAGGGAAGCTGAAAAGTCCAAGAGTTGAGGAGCTGAATCTGGTGAGAACCTTCCTGCTGGTGGGGACTCTCTGCAGAGTCCTGATGCAGTGCAGAACATCACATGGGTGAGGGGCTGAGTGTGCTAACTTAGGTGTCTGTTTCTCTTCTTATAAAGCCATCAGTCCCACTCCCCTGATAACTCATTAATCTATTAACCAAATAATCCATTAATCCATTCATGAAGGCAGGGCCCCTGTGACCCAATCATCTCTCAATGGCCTCACCTCTCATCACTACCACATTGAGGACTGTCAGTTTCAACGTGAGTTTTGAAGGCCAAAAACATTCAAACAAAAGCAGTTCTTGACTTGAGTAGGCCAGGTATGCTTTGTTTGACTGATGCAGTGTGACTCCTCTCTTCCATATTAACATCCTCTATGGGCTGCTGCTGTTGAGATGAAGTGGCTTTCTTATACTGCACAGCAGGTGATGCCTTTCTTTTACTGCACAGCAGGTGATGCCTCACTTAAGCGAATCAAATGGCATGACAGTTGTCTTAGTCCGTTTAGGCTACTCTAACAAAATACCATATTGTGTGGCTGATAAACAACATAAATATTTTCTCACAGTTCTGGAGGTTAGAAAATGCAAACTGAGGTGCCAGTGGATTTCATGTCCAAGGAAAGCCTCCTTCCTAGCTATCTCCTCTCTGTAACCTCACATGGCAGAAGGGGCAAGGAAGCTCTCTCAGCCTCTGCCCTCATGACTTTTCACCTCTCAAAGACCCCACTTTCTAATACCATCACCTTGAAAATTTAGATTTTAAATTATAAATTTTGGGAGCACACATTCAGACCATAGCAAAGGTTATAGTCTATAACCGATAGCTTTTTAAATGGTACACATGCCATCTTAATCATATTAATAAAAGCAATGTACTTGTATGAAGTAATAATATTGGGGCAAAAGTTGTTATATTAAAACACAAAATGCAAAGGGGTTTTACAGGGTTAAATACTAATGATTAACATCACACATATATATGATTTTATATCACATATGCATGATTAAAGAAGACCAGTGGTTAGTAGAAAAAGATAGAGGTCAGTGCCTGTATTTTTTGTGCTTAACATGAGTGTGAGCATTAGATCTTTCTCCACACAAGGACCTTTCCCTTGAGATTTTACAACTTTTATAAAATAATTGGATGGTTCAAAGGGGCAAAATGGAGTTTAGACAGAGGGATTCAGAACAGATTCACTCCCTAAGCCATGTGCCTTCCAAGCAGAATGTCAGAATAATTTATTTTAATACTCAAATATCCCCTGGTAAAATATTTTAAAAAGAAATTTATTTTTAAAACTTTAATTGACAGGTTATCTGGTCAAGATTGAAAATGAACTATTTAGAACATATATTGGTAACTATATATTGAATCATTTTATGGTTATCCTTATTTTCTAAGAATACTATATTAAATATTATTGAGAAAATGCAAGTAAAGTAATAAATAATTGACATTTCTACTTTGAACATAGTTCCATTTAAGTAAACTTGACTTTCTTAGATTGAAAAAAAAGTGAATATGGACTCATACTCAGTCTTGCTAAGATTTCAAGTGTTACAGAAAAAACAAAAGATGTGGTTGAAGTGAAATTAAGAAATTGGCATAATCGGCTTGGGGACACTTTCTATAGTCTCTTGAATATAAAAGAAAAGGGCAAGCTGAGTAGGAATGGCAGGCGCTGGCGGAGAGCTCTTAACTGCTCCTCATCTGCTTAAAATGTGGGTCATTATTAAACAGACAATATTAATCAGTGAAAAAAATGATGTCTTAGCCAAATTAGTTACCAAAGTACCAGAAGTTCTAGCTGTTGGAGCCCAAGAGAACAGATAACAAAAGTGACCTCTTGCTAAATATTGGAAAACCTCACTAGGTATTGGAGGCCCAGACAAGCTCTAATCATCCTTTCTCTCTGCATTGCACATTTCAGATATAGCCAAGTCTGGGGAAGAATGTAGCTTCTTCAGAAGGAGAAGAAAGTAAAAGACAAAATGAAGAGGGGAGAATAAAGGCTCATATGGAAATTGCTCATATAAACCACTTCTATCACCACAATCTAATTTTAGAACCTTGCCATCACCCCTGAAAGGAAGTAGTACCTCGTAGCATCCCCATTCTCAAGCCCCAGGCTTCTGTTATACTTTCTGTCTGTATAAATGTGCCTATTCTGGACATTTCCTATAAATGAAATGGCAGGATATGCATTTCTGTGCGTGAGACGGGCTTCCTTTACTGAGCACAGTGTTGTTCAGACTCATGATGCTGTGGCATGTGTCAGTACTACACAACTGTGTAAAGATGACTCTGTAAATGTATTAAAAGCCATTGAATTGTACACCTTAAATGGGTAATTGCTTGGTATGTAAGTTATATTTCACAAAGCTCTTTAAAAAATGGAGAACCTCACAGGGAAGTGTTCATGTCCACTCAGAGACAACCAGAGGGGCTCTGGCTTCCTCATCTAAGGAGAGTAAGGCAGAAGGTTCATCGGGAGAGTCAGGAGCATTCAGGAAATGGAAGCATCCCTACCTAATTTCAATCATCGGTCAGCATGCAAAATCACAACCTCGAGTATTATCACCTTAAAATAAGTAGTTAATAGAAATTACGTTCCTGGGAATATTATAAGCAGAAACCATCCAGATAATTAAAAGTAAATTAGGTACCCAAACAGATTGAAACAGGACATTAAATGTCAGATCTGCCTGTTCAGAGATTTATATAACTATAACCTATATTTGGGGAGTTTATTAGATCCTACCCACAGGTAATGCAAACTAGTGACCTTGTTTTTTCTTCTCTTAGCAATCCCACTGTCAACATAGAATGAAAAACTGGCCGTCAGGGAATGTAGGGTGTGAGATGAATATTTTAATACGTGTAAAAAATTGGATATTTGATCCAATACTTTGTATTGGTAACTTACTGAGTTCTAAATTTGTTTTATGTGAAACTAGAAAAGTTGAAAGCCAACAAAAATGAAAAATATTTATAAGAGCATTTGGAACACTCCAAAGGAAATGTCGACAAAGATTGCAACTAAAATGTGTAAGTCAAAATATAATAGCTTATTTAATGAGCTGGTTATTCTAGAACTTACACACTGTGGTAAAATTATGAACCTACCAAAATTATTCTACTTAAGAATTTCAACCAAGTTTAAAAGTCTCTCATGACTCCTGATATTAGTTTGATTACATGGGCTGGTATTTTTAAATGGGTTTTAACAGCCAGAATAATTCAATATATATATTTTCCTCTAACAGCCTTTTGAAAAGTGAATCCCAACCTTAGGGATAATGGTCATAAAAGATAAATAATATTAGTTCCCATAAAAAAGAGGTTACCAAGAAAAACTTCAAAGGTCTGATTTTGCCTCTGCTCTTTTATTTATTACAGTTTCCTATTACATGTACAAAATGTTATCTAAGCTATTAATTATGTTATGCTTTACATTTCTAGTTCCTTCTATTATCTCTTTTTTAAAAAAATAATACTCTGGGCACATATTAATTATGACATCATTTGAATCAATTTTCTAGAAATTTAATTTCCAACATTTGGATAAAAACATAATATAGGTAATTCCTTTTTTTTTTTTTTTTTTTTTTTTGAGATGGAGTTTCACTCTTGTTGCCCAGGCTGAAGTGCAGTGGCACAATCTCAACATGAGATGTGGCTTCACTTCTCACGGCAACCTCCGACTCCCAGGTTCAAGCGATTCTCCTGCCTCAGCCTCCCTAGTAGCTGGGATTCCAGGCATGTGCCACCACACCCCGCTAATTTTGTATTTTTAGTAGAGACTAAACATGGGGTTTCTCCATGTTGGTCGGGCTGGTCTCGAACTCCTGACCTCAGGTAATCTGCCCGCCTAGGCCTCCCAAAGTGCTGGGATTCCAGGCGTGAGCCACTGTGCACGACCAATATAGGTAATTACTAATGAGAGTTTAGACAAGACCCAGGCCTCAAACACTTTCATCCTCTCCTTTAGTCGAATCTTTTAAAATTAAAAATAAACATTCTTTTCTGGATTCTAACCTTTTGAGACTTGGCAAATGTTATGGTTTGGATCCGTGTCCCCACCCACATCTCATGTTGAATTTTAATCCCCCACGTTGGAGGTGGGGTCTGATGGGAGGTGATGGGGTCATGGGAGTAGATTTCCCCATTGGTGCAGTTCTGGTGATAGTGAGTGAGTTCTCCTGAGACCTGTCACTTAAAAGTGTGTGGTACCTCCCTCTTCCCTCTGTCTTCCTCTTGTTCTGGCTATGTGAGCTGCTTGCTCCCCCTTTGCCTTCTGCTATGATTGAAAGTTTCCTGAGGGCTCCCCAGAAGCCCAGCAGATGCCAGCATCATGCTTCCTGTACAGCCTGCAGAACCATGAGGAATTAAAGCTCTTTTCTTTATAAATTACCCAGGCTCAGGTATTTTTTTTTTATAGCAGTGCAAGAACCGACTAATACAGCAAATTTTTAAGACTGGGTTTTAAATCAGAAATAAGAATGGTAGAAAAATTGCTGGTATTTTGGTCAGCACTTTGTTTTAGATTTTTGTGAGGTTTCTTTTGTTTGTTTGTTTTAAATCTCAGCTTGTTTTTTGTTCAGAGAATTGATGGTGAGAACTGGCAGTCACTTACTAGCCCTCTGCTTATGACTCCTTGTATTTCTCTTGTGTGTCATTCTATGTCTCAGGTGAGCAAAATATAGATGATAATCCAGGCTATACATGATTTTATTGTGCTAAGTTTTACCAAGTTGCTCAGGCAACGACTTCAGTTAGAAATTTTAATGGTCCAAAATCCTAGAGTTACTACTTAGAAAAAAGATCTTAGTGCAGTGCTGACCAATGAATATAAGGCTGTGCACCAAATAATGATGTTTCCATCAATGGCCAACAGCATATATGATGGCGACCTCATGAGATTATAGTATCATCATTTTACTGTACCTTTTTTATGTTTAGATATGTTAAGACACACAAATACTTACAATTGTGTTACAATTGCCTGCAATTCAGTACAATAACATACTGTACAAGTTTGTAGCCTAGGAGCAATAGCCTGCAACACATAGCCTAGGTGTGTGGTATGCTTTACTATTTAGGTTTGTGTAAGTGGATTCTGTGACATTCACATGATGACAAAATCACCTAAAGACACATTTTTCAGAAGGTATCCCCATCATAAAGTGACCCATGACCGTGTAATACTAACTGCCTACATAATTTTAAACATTTCATAGTTATGTTAAAAAGTCAAAAGAAAGTGAAATTAATTTTAAACATATATTTAACCCGATATATTCACAATATTATCACTTTAAAATGTTTTTGATATAAAAATAATTGAGATAATTTGCAGTCTTTTTTTCATACTAAGTGTTCAAAATCAAACTTGGACTGGCCACATTTCAGTTGCTGAGGAGCTGCACGTGGCTAGCAGCCATGATACTGGACAACAAAGGCTCAAATAGCATCTGAGTGATGTTGAACAGTGATGCCACATTGACTAAGATCGTCAAGTCTGTTCGTTACAGCAGCCAGCATCAGTTTCACCCTGGAGGACAGATTATTTATATAGTGTGTTCTACTTCACTGCCTGTTCTTCAAGAAATAAATTTCCCCTTCCTCTTTTCTGTATTAAAAACCTCTTCTTTGTTTCTCATCCACTGTCCTTATCCTTATGAGTCAAATTTTTTCCTTTTCAGGATGCCCAGTTTTATCTAGGAGAGAAAAAAGGGACTGAGCAAGCCAGCATTATAAGATCTTTGTTTGGCAGTGGACAAAAAGAAATTGTCAAATTATTCTTTCTATTGACGTGAGCCAGAGGAAGAATGACCAGACTTCAAATACCATGAGAGAGAATGAAGTGTGTGTATGTATGTGGGCAGTTATCTTTTAGATTAGAATTTTATTTTAGATTTAATTCTGTCATATTTAGACATAGTAGGCTTTACTTCAGGGCTGTTTTTTTCTTTTCCTCTGTCTATTCTTTGACAACATTGGGCAGATTTAATTAACTTTATTAAATGTTGTTCTCTGATAGAACATGTCTCAAGCACTCCTCTTTGTTCATTATTTTCTTGGATGCTTTACCACATATTTCTTTATCTGTTCCCATAGGTGTATACGGTGAGAACATCATGTCTTTGGTCCATGGCAACCGATCATTATTGGTAAAAGCTTATCTCTTATATTATTCAATCATATTTGCCTTTACCCTGTGTGCATCTCACTTCACCCGAAGGCTTCCATTCTAATGCGTTGCACATGTAACATTAGATTTGAGTATAACTTTGGTGTGTAGTGATATTTGAATCATGTATTAAATTCAGTTAATTGTGGTGCTGTGAGTTTAAATCTGGCTTACATGATTTATCTCTCACCAACATAGTTCTTAAGGCCTAGGCATGTAACACATATTACTTCAATGAACATTGGAATCACTTGATGTAATTGAAATATTCGAATGATGGTTTGATTGTCATTGTTTCAATTGCAGAAACTTACCCCTGTCGCATCACAGTACGTCAGTAAAATGTAATAATTTACATAACATACTAGGGATTTTACACTCTTCCTGCTCATTAAAGGTAATTTTTTGGTTACACTTTCTACATTGTAATTATAAACTAAAAAATCTATTTTTGTCTATTTATTATACATCCATATCCTTTACCTACTTGTTATGTTTATATTCTGTCTTTGCCTCTACAATGTAATCTCCATGAGGGATTTTTAACTGCTTTACTTAATACCTACAACACTGCCTATTGCTCAATATTTATTTAACTCTTTTCCTGCTACTGAGCTACATACTTGGGATATAGTGGTGGAAAAAAACAATCAGTCTTAAGAACTTTACGGTCTAGGAGGGGGCAGTGCAGAGAGATAAACAGGCAATGACATTACGGTGGTCACTGCAAGAGAGTAAGCACGGTGAAGTAAACGAGCATGAAGGTGACCAACCCTACAATTTTCCAGAAATGTTTCTGGAAAATGTGATGGCTAAATGGAGACTTGAAAGTTATTCAAGTGTAAGTTAGATAAAGAAGAGTGAGGGAGGCAACAACAGGTGCTGCAGAAAGCGGAACAAATGCCGAGGTCTGGAGGCAAGCCTGAGTGTGGTATGTTCAGCAAACACATTTCAGGTTCCACAAAATCTCCTAAATCACCTCATTGACAAAAAACTGCCTTCACCTTTCATTCTCAATATTAGTTTTCCTTAAATACTAGTGTTCTTTTTCTTGTAATTTTAATAATATGTATAGCTCCAGTGTTTCTTTTCTTCTCATTTTTCAACTTCAGTGTGAGAATGTGATAGTAGGTAGTCAGGCAGACATGAGCAGGGCAGGAGAAGGGATCTCTTCCCAGGAATGTCAGGCGACCATCCAGTGATGGCCAGGCAATTGTTAAGCTGTCTCTCTAAAATAATAATTGGTCACAGCCAGCACCAGGGAATATCAATCTCCTAATAGACAACATCTGGAGGTGGTGATCAGCAGCTTCCCAGTAAGATCCCAGGAGTTAGGTGAGCTGGCTCAGATATGCACACTAAAAGGCAAAATGGTGGAGCTTAACTCGTATCTGATCTTCTTCTAGAAACACTCGACTGGTAATGAAAAAACACCTCAGGTGAGCATGCACACAACTTCAGAAAACACACTGCATATATGCTCCCTCTGGAGTGCTGGCAGACCACTGCACATGCAGACAGCCCACCCCGAGGGAAAAATCAAGGGAGGGCAAACACAAACCCCAGAACCATGCCAATGTTAAAACCCCAAGTCAAGGGCTACACAGGGCACCTGATCTCTCAAGGTGCCTGCTTGGCCCTCTTCCAAGTGTGCTTTTCTTCCTTTCATTCCTGCTCTAAAACTTTTTAATAAACTCTCACTCCTGCTCTAAAACTTGCCTCAGCCTCTCCCTCTGCCTTAAACCTACTTCTTCCCCTCAGCTGAATTATTTCCTCCGAGGAAGCAAGAATAGAATTGCTGAAGACCCATGTGGATTCACCACTGGTAGCAAGAAGAGGCCTAGATGGTTGTTAACATGTGGAGGAAAGGACTTTAATTCATTTTTGTTCCCCTGACTCACAGACTGACAATACCACTAACAATTAAAAATCCTCCTTTTAGGTAGTAAACAATAAGATTAGTTGAAATACTTATTTTTTAATTCTTGTTGAAAATTCTGATACTTATTAGCCATTACTTAAGTGTGGATCTAACGATCCAATAAAAAAATACTATTCGCCAGAAATATATATATTATTGATGATAAGATGTTATCTGTGATACTCTCCAAGCCAAAACTTTGAATGAAAAGCTAAATATTTACAACAGTCATTTTTCTTCTGAATTAGTCAGGGTTATCTAGAAGGACAGAACTAATAGGATATATGCATATATGGAAGGGAGTTTATTAAGGAGAATTGACACACACAAGGTGAAGTCTCACGACAGGTCATCTGCAAGCTGAGGAGCAAGGAACCAGTCCGAGTCCCAAAACCTCAAAAGTAGGGAAGCTGACAGTGCAGACTTCAGTCTGTGGCCAAAGGCCTGAGAGCCCCTGGCAAACCACCGGTGTAAGTCCAAGAGTCCAAAAGCTGAAGAATGTGGAGGCTGATGTTCAAGGGCAGGAGCCATCAGCACAGGAGAAAGATGAAGGCTGGAAGACTCAGCAAGTCTGCTCATTCCACCTTCTACTGCCTGCTTTTTCTAGTCTTGCTGGCTGCCAATGGGACCAAAATCCAGTGGGGCAGTCATTAAATCTTAATGACTCCAAGTCTCACATCCGGGGCACACTGATGCAAAGGGTGGGCTCCCACAGCCTTGGGCAACTTCTTCACAGGCTAGCATTGAGTGTCTGTGGCTTTTTCAGGCACATGGTGCAAGCTTTCAGTGGATCTGAAAATGGATTTCAGACCATTCTGGGGTCTGGAGGATGGTGGCCCTCTTCTCACAGCTCCACTAGGCAGTGCCCCATTGGGGATTCTATGTGGGGGCTCCAACCCCACACTTCCCTTCCAACTGTCCTAGCAGAGATTCTTCATGAGGGCTCTGCCCCTGCAGTAGACCCCTGCCTGGACATGCCGGCATTCCCATACGTCCTCTGAAATCTAGGCAGAAGTTTCCAACCTCAATTCTTGACTTCTGTGCATGCACAAGCCCAACAAACACCACGTGGAAGCTGCCACAGCTTGGGGCTTGTACCCTCTGAAGCAAAGGCCAGAGCTGTACCTTGTCCCCTTTTAGCCACTGCTAGAGCTGGAGCAGCTGGGACACAGGGCACCAGGTCCTGAGGCCGTACGAAGCAGTGGGACCCTGGGTCCAGCCCACAAAATCATTTGTTTTCCTCCTATGCCACAGGGCCTGTGATTGGAGGGGCTGCCATGAAGTTCTCTGACATAACCTGGAGACATTTTCCTCATTGTCTAGGCTATTCACATTCAGCTCCTCATTACTTATGCAAATTTCTGTAGCCAGCATGAATTTCTCCCCAGAAAATGAGTTTTTCTTTTCTACTGCATGCTCAGGCAGCAAATTTTCCAAACTTTTATGTTCTGCTTCCCTTTTAAACATAAGTTCCAGTTTCAGATCATCTCTCTCAAGTTCAAAGTTCCACAGATCTCTAGGGCAGGGGCAAAATGCCACCAGTCTCTTTGGGAAAGCATAGCAAGAGTGACCTTTCCTCCAGTTTCTAATAAGTTACTCATTTCCATCTGAGACCACCTCAGCCTGGACTTCATTGTCCAAATCATTATTGGCATTTTGGTCAAAACCATTCAACAAGTCTCTGAGAAGTTCCAAACTTTCCCACATTTTCCTGTTCTTCTGAGCCCTCCAAACTGTTCGAAACTGCCTGTTACCCAGCTCCAAAGTTGCTTCCACATTTTCAAGTATCTTTATAGCAGTATCCCACTCTCAGTACCAATTTCCTGTATTAGTTTGTTTTCACACTGCTCTAAAGATACTACCAGAAACTGAGTAATTTATGAACAAAAGATTTATAAACAAAATTGACTCACATTTCCATATGGCTGAGGGAGCCTCAGGAAACTTATAATTATGGCAGAAGGGAAAGCAGTCACTTTCTTCACAGGTTGGCAGAAGAGAGAGAAGAGCAAAAGAGGAATTTTCAAACACTTATAAAACCACTAGCTCTCATTAGAACTCACTCACTATCATGGGAACAGCATGGGGGAAACCACCCCCATAATCCAATCACTTCCGTCTCTTGACAAGTGGGGATTACAGATCTCTCCTTCAATACATGAGAAGTACAATTTGAGATGAGATTTGGGTGGAGACACAGAGCCAAACCATACTGAAGCAGCTACATTGTCTGGGGTATATACCCTGGGGTTTGTTGTCACGCAGCAGGAAAATTTAGAACACAGACACACGCGAGGAGTTTAGGAGCAGAGGTTTAATGGGTAGAAGAGAAAAGAAAGAGAAACTGCTTCCTCTGTAGAGTAGGCATCTCCGAGAACAAAGGGACCAGCTGGTGGCAAATGCTCCGTTTTATAGTCTAGTTTCAGGAGGCGGTGTCTGATTTACATAGGGCTCATAGATTGATTCAATCAGGTATGACATTTACATAGTGCAGGGAAGGCTGGTCGCCCCACCCTAACCTTCTCATGTAAATGTGCCATCTTGTCTTCTCCTTACAGTACCCGTGCCTGGCAGAGAAAGGAAGATGGAGCTACCATCTTGACCATGTCTAGTCCTTAGTTCCTGCCAGCATTCACTGTCAGGCCTCTGAGCCCAAGTGAAGCCATCATATCCCCTGTGGCCTGCACGTACACATCCAGATGGCCGGTTCCTGCCTTAACTGATGACATTCCACCACAAAAGAAGTGAAAATGGCCTGTTCCTGCCTTAACTGATGACATTGTCTTGTGAAATTCCTTCTCCTGGCTCATCCTGGCTCAAAATCTCCCCTACTGAGCACCTTGTAACCCCCGACTCTGCCCACCAGAGAACCCCCATTTGACTGTAATTTTCCATTACCTTCCCAAATCTTATAAAACGGCCCCACCCCTATCTCCCTTTGCTGACTCTCTTTTCGGACTCAGCCTACCTGCACCCAGGTGAAATAAACAGCCTTGTTGCTCACACAAAGTCTGTTTAATGGTCTCTTCACATGGACACACATGAAATTTGGTGCCGTGACTCGGATTGGGGGACCTCCCTTGGGAGATCAATCCCCTGTCCTCCTGCTCTTTGTTTCATGAGGAAGATCCACCTACGACCTCTGGTCCTCAGACCAACCAGCCCAAGGAACATCTCACCAATTTTAAATCCAGTAAGCGGCCTCTTTTTACTCTCTTCTCCAACCTCTCTCACTATCCCTCAACCTCTTTCTCCTTTCAATCTTGGCGCCACACTTCAATCTCTCCCTTCTCTTAATTTCAATTCCTTTCATTTTCTGGTAGAGACAAAGGAGACACGTTTTATCTGTGGACTCAAAACTCCGGCGCTGGTCACGGACTCGGGAAGGCAGCCTTCCCTTGGTGTTTATTCATTGCAGGGACGCTTCTCTGATTATTCATCCATGTTTCAGAGGTGTCTGACCACTCAGGGATGCCTGCCTTCGTCCTTCACCCTTAGCAGCAAGTCCCACTTTTCTGGGGGAGGGGCAAAAACTTGACTGCTTCTCTCCCTGTCTCTACCCCTTCTCTGCTTTTCTGGGGGGCAAGAACCCCCCGGTCCCTTATTTCTGCACCCCGACCTCTTATCTCTGCACCCCGATCCCTTATTCCCATTCCCCAACCTCATATCTCTGTGCCCCAACCCCTTATTTCCGTGCCCCAAGCCCTTTCCTGCTTTTCTGGAGGGTAAGAACCCCCGAACCCCTTCCCTCCATGTCTCTACTCTCTCTTTTCTCTGGGCTTGCCTCCTTCACTATGGGCAATCTTCCACCCTCCATTCCTCCTTCTTCTCCCTTAGCCTGTGTTCTTAAAAACCTAAAACCTCTTCAACTCACACCTGACCTAAAACCTAAATGCCTTATTTTCTTCTGCAATGCCGCTTGACCCCGATACAAACTTGACAGTGGTTCCAAATAGCCAGAAAACTGCACTTTCATTTTTTCCATCCTACAAGATCTAAATAATTCTTGTCATAAAATGGGCAAACAGTCTGAGGTGCCTGACGTCCAGGCATTCTTTCATACATCAGTCCCTCCCTAGTCTCTGTTCCCAATGCAACTGGTCCCAAATCTTCCTTCTTTCCCTCCCGCCTGTCCCCTCAGACCCAACCCCAAGCATCACTGAGTCTTTCTAATCTTCCTTTTCTACAGACCCATCTGACCTCTCCCTTCCTCCCCAGGCCGAGCTAGGTCCCAATTCTTCCTCAGCCTCTGCTCCTCCACCCTATAATCCTTTTATCACCTCCCCTCCTCACACCTGGTCTGGCTTACAGTTTCATTCCGTGAGTAGCCCTCCTTTTAAACTGCCCAGCAATTTCCTCTTAAAAAGGTGGCTGGAGCTAAAGGCATAGTCAAGGTTAATGCTCCTTTTTCTTTATCCCAAATCAGATAGCATTTAGGCTTTTTTTCATCAAATATAAAAACCCAGCTCAGTTCATGGCTCGTTTGGCAGCAACCCTGGGATGCTTTACAGCCCTAGAACCTAAAAGGTCAAAAGGCCGTCTTATTCTCAATATACGTTTTATTACCCAATCTGCTCCCAACATTAAATAAAACTCCAAAAATTAAATTCTGGCCCTCAAACCCCACAACAGGACTTAATTAACCTCGCCTTCAAGGTGTACAATAATAGAGTAGAGGCAGCCAAGTAGCAACATATTTCTGAGTTGCAATTCTTTGCCTCCACTGTGAGACAAACCCCAGCCACATCTCCAGCACACAAGAACTTCCAAACACCTGAACCGCAGCGGCCAGGCATTCCTCCAGGCCCGCCTTCCCCAGGAGCTTGCTACAAGTGCCAGAAATCTGGCCACCAGGCCAAGGAATGCCTGCAGCCTGGGATTCCTCCTAAGCCACGTCCCATCTGTGTGGGACCCCACTGAAAATCAGACTGTTCAACTCACCTGGCAGCCACTCCCAGAGCCCCTGGAACTCTGGCCCAAGGCTCTCTGACTGACTCCTTCCCAGATCTTCTCGGCTTAGCGGCTGAAGACTGACGCTGCCCGATCACCTCGGAAGCCCCCTAGACCATCAAGGACGCCGAGCTTCGGGTAACTCTCACATTGGAGAGTAAATCCGTCCCCTTCTTAATCAATATGGAGGCTACACACTCCACATTACCTTCTTTTCAAGGGCCTGTTTCCCTTGCCTCCATAACTGTTGTGGATTGACAGCCAGGCTTCTAAACCTCTTAAAACTCCCCAACTCTGCTGCCAACTTAGACAATACTCTTTTAAGCACTCCTTTTTCGTTATCCCCACCTGCCCAGTTCCCTTATTAGGCCGAGACACTTTAACTAAATTATCTGCTTCCCTGACTATTCCTGGGCTACAGCCACAGCTCATTGCCACCTTTTCCCCCAGTTCAAAGCCTCCTTCACATCCTTCCCTTGTATCCTCCCACCTTAACCCACAAGTATGGGATACCTCTACTCCCTCCTTGGCGACCGAACATGCACCCCTTACCATCTCATTAAAACCTAATCACCCTTACCCCACTCAATGCCAATATCCCATCCCGCAGCATGCTTTAAAAAGATTAAAGCCTGTTATCACTCACCTGCTACAGCATGGCCTTTTAAAGCCTATAAACTCTCCTTACAATTTCCCCCATTTTACCTGTCCTAGAACCAGACAAGCCTTACAGGTTAGTTCAGGATCTGAGCCTTATCAACCAAATTGTTTTGCCTATACACCCCTTGGTGCCAAACCCATATACTCTCCTATCCTCAATACCTCCCTCCACAACCCATTATTCTGTTCTGGATCTCAAACATGCTTTCTTTACTATCCCTTTTCACCGTTCATCCCATCCTCTCTTAGCTTTCACTTAGACTGACCCTGACACCCATCAGGCTCAGCAAATTACCTGGGCTGTACTGCCACAAGCCTTCACAGACAGCCCCCACTACTTCAGTCAAACCTAAATTTCATCCTCATCTGTTACCTATCTTGGCATAATTCTCATAAAAACACACGTGCTCTCCCTACTGATCGTGTCTGACTAATCTCCCAAACCTCAATCCCTTCTACAAAACAACAACTTCTTTCCTTCCCAGGCATGGTTAGATACTTTTGACTTTAGATATCTGGTTTTGCCATCCTAACAAAACCATTATATAAACTCACAAAAGGAAACCTAGCTGAACCCATAGATCCTAAATCCTTTCCCCACTCCTCTTTCCATTCCTTGAAGACAGCTTTAGAGACTGCCCCACCCTAGCTCTCCCTGACTGATCCCAACCCTTTTCATTACCCACAGCTGAAGTGCAGGGCTGTGCAGTCAGAATTCTTACACAAGGACCAGGACCGCACCCTGTAGCCTTTTTATCCAAACAACTTGACCTTACTGTTTTGCCTAGCCCTCAAGTCTGCATGTGGCGGCTGCCACTGCATTAATACTTTAGAGGCCCTTAAAATCACAAACTATGCTCAACTCACTCTCTACAATTCTCATAACTTCCAAAATCTATTTTCTTCCTCACACCTGACACATATACGTTCTGCTTCCCGGCTCCTTCAGCTGTACTCACTCTTTGTTGAGTCTCCCACAATTACCATTGTTCCTGGCCCGACTTCAATCTGGCCTCCCACATTATTCCTGATACCACACCTGACCCCCATGACTGTATCTCTCTGATCCACCTGACATTCACTCCATTTCCCCATATTCTTTCATGTTCCTCATCCTGAACACACTTGGTTTATTGATGGCAGTTCCACCAGGCCTAATCGCCACTCACCAGCAAAGGCAGGCTATGCTACAGTATCTTCCACATCTATCATTGAGGCTACTGCTCTGCCCCCCTCCACTACCTCTCAGCAAGCCGAACTCATTGCCTTAAGGCAAGCCCTCACTCTTGCAAAAGGACTAAAGGTCAATATTTATACTGACTCTAAATATGCCTTCCATATCCTGCACCACCATGCAAGAGGTTTCCTCATCACACAAGGGTCCTCCATCATTAATGCCTCTTTAATAAAAACGCTTCTCAAAGCTGCTTTACTTCCAAAGGAAGCTGGAGTCATTCACTGCAAAGGCCATCAAAGGGCATCAGACCCCATCGCTCAGGACAATGCTTATGCTGATAAGATAGCTAAAAAAGCAGCTAGCGTTCCAACTTATATCCCTCACTTTCAGTTTTTCTCCTTCTCATCTGGCCTCTCCCACCTACTCCCCCGCTGAAACTTCCACCTATCAATCTCTTCCCACACAAGGCAAATGGTTCTTAGACCAAGGAAAATATCTCCTTCAAGCCTCACAGGCCCATTCTATTCTATCGTCATTTCATAACCTCTTCCACGTAGGTTACAAGCCACTAGCCTGTCTCTTAGAACCTCTCATTTCCTTTCCATCATGGAAATCTATCTTCAAGGAAATCACTTCTCAGTGTTCCATTTGCTATTCTACTACCCCTCAGGGATTGTTCAGGCCCCCTCCCTTTCCCACACATCAAGCTCCGGGATTTGCCCCCACCCAGGACTGGCAAATTGGCTTTACTCAACATGCCCTGAGTCAGGAAACTAAAATACCTCTTAGTCTAGGTAGACACTTTCACTGGATGGGTAGAGGCCTTTCCTACAGGGTCTGAGAAAGCCACTGCGGTCATTTCTTCCCTTCTGTCAGACATAATTACTCGGTTTGGCCTTCCCACCTCTACGCAGTCCGATAGTGGACAGGCCTTTATTAGTCAAATCAGCCAAGCAGTTTTTCAGGCTCTTGGTATTCAGTGAAACCTTTATATCCCTTACGGTCCTCAGTCTTCAGGAAAGGTAGAACGGACTAATGGTCTTTTAAAAACACGCCTCACCAAGCTCAGCCACCAACTTAAAAAGGACTGGACAATACTTTTACCTCTTTCTTTTCTCAGAATTCAGGCCTGTCCTCGGAATGCTACAGGGTAGAGCCCATTTGAGCTCCTGTATGGACGCTCCTTTTTATTAGGCCCCAGTCTCATTCCAGACACCAGACCAACTTGGACTGTGCTCCCCAAAAAACTTGTCATCCCTACTATCTTCTGTCTAGTCATACTCCTATTCACCATTCTCAACTACTCATACATGCCCTGCTCTTGTTTACACTGCCAGTTTACACTGTTTCTCCAAGTCATCACAGCTGATATCTCCTGGTGCTACCCCCAAACTGCCACTCTTAACTCTGAAATAAATAATCTTTGCTGGCAGGGCTATGCTGAACCTCCTTAGGCACTCTCTAATTAGATGTCCTGGGTCCTCCCAATTCTTAGACCTTTAATACCTGTTTTTCTCCTCTTATTCCATTTAGTTTTTCAATTCATACAAAACCATATCCAGGCCATCACCAATAATTCTAAATGACAAATGTTTCTGCTAACAACCCCACAATATCACCCCTTACCACAAAATCTTCCTTCAGCTTAATCTCTCCCACTCTAGGTTCCCACGTCGTCCCTAATCCTGCTCGAAGCAGCCCTGAGGAACATCGCCCATTATCTCTCCATACCATCCCCCAAAATTTTTGCCATCCCAACACTTTACCACTGTTTCATTTTATCTTTCTTATTAATATAAGAAGACAAGAATGTCAGGCCTCTGAGCCCAAGCTAAGCCATCATATCCCCTGTGACCTGCACATACACATCCAGATGGCTGGTTCCTGCCTTAACTGATGACATTCCACCACAAAAGAAGTGAAAATGGCCTGTTCCTACCTTAACAGATGACATTGTCTTGTGAAATTCCTTCTCCTGGCTCATCCTGGCTCAAAAGCTCCCCTACTGAGCACCTTGTGACTCCCACTCTTCCCACCAGAGAACAACCCCCGTTTGACTGTAATTTTCCTTTACCTACCCAAATCCTATAAAACGGCCCCACCCCTATCTGCCTTCGCTGACTCTGTTTTCGGACTCAGCCTGCCTGCACCCAGGTGAAATAAACAGCCTTGTTGCTCACACAAAGCCTGTTTGGTGGTCTCTTCACACGGACGCACATGAAATTCACCTGTGCAAGCTCCCAGCTTTCAGGCTGCTCTTTGTTAGAAAATGATTTGGGGCTGCTTTTCATTAAAAAGAAAAGCCTTACTGAGGACTCCCATACCCTTGCTAACTGCCTAAGTGATTTATTCTTAACTCTTATATCAATATCACCATCAAAAGTCATGCATTGACAAATGTACCCACTTTTGACCAAGGTTTTGTGGCATTGTTGGAAATTGTATTCCTAGAGTAGATATAGGATTTTTACAAAATGTAATTAATGGGGATGAGATTTATTGGGAAACTGTTAAAATACTTTTGACTTATTTAGAAAACATCTTCCTTTAATTTCCTGCAGTAATAAGGTACTTGCCCTTTTTCTAGTTGGACTCTTAGATACACAATAAAAATAGATATATTGTGATCTTTCTTTCTATGACTGATAGATACCTTTTTATAAGTTCACTCTTTAGTCAAGTTCTGGAATTTCACACCATTGATAAGAATTTGGCCCATTCTGAAGCTGCTGAAGCTGTGCTTATCTTGAAGGTTAATTAGATTGTTTGAATTCCAAAAAGAAGGTAGGGGATGGTAAATTCAGTCTCAGTCCTTAGGTAGCTTTCAGTCACCATAATCGAGAAGATCAATGAAAATTTTTAATCAATGAAAGTCAGAAATATATATTGTGGTATCCAAAACATGAAACACAGCACTGAACTCTTCACTAATATAAATCAGTGAATGAGGGCAAGGTCAAAAGGTACATTCTAAAGGGACATGTTTTGTGTCAGGCCTCTGAGCCCAAGCTAAGCCATCATATCCCCTGTGACCTGCACGTATGGGTCCAGATGGCCCAAAGCAAGTGAAGAATCACAAAAGAAGTGAAAATGGTCAGTTCCTGCCTTAACCGATGACATTCCACCACAAAAGAAGTGAAAAATGGCCTGTTCCTGCCTTAACTGATGACCTTACCTTGTGAAATTCCTACTCATGGCTCAGAAGCTCCCCCACTGAGCACCTTGTGACCCCCACCCCTGCAGGCCAGAGAACTACCCTCTTTCACAGTAATTGTCCATTACCTACCCAAATCCTATAAAATGGCCCCAGCCCTATTTCCCTTAGCTGACTATTTTTGGACTCAGCTCGCCTGCACCCAGGTAATTAGAAAGCTTTATTGCTCACACAAAGCCTGTTTGGTGGTCTCTTCACACGGAGGCGCGTGAAATTTTGCTCGTTGATGAAAAGAGTCAAACTCTGTAAAATGTTATTCTGAGCCAAGTATGAGTGACCATGGCCCATGACACAGCCCTCAGGAGGGCCTGAGACTATGTGCCCAATGTGGTCAGGGAGCTGCTTGGTTATACGCATTTTAGGGAGGCATGAGACATCAATCAAATACATTTGAGAAATACATTGGCTTCCTCCAAAAAGGTGGAAAAATTGTGGTGCGGGGGAGGAGAGGGGACTCGTTTCTGGGCTATAGGTAAATTTAAACATTTTCTGGTTTACAATTGGTTGAGTTGGTCTAATGACCTGGGATTAATCGCAAGGAAATGTTTAAGTTAAAAGATTGCAGATACCGAGGTTCTTTTGAAGTCTCATAGTGGCTGCCCTTAGAGACAATAGATGACAAGTGTTTGCTATTCAGACCTTCAAAAGGTGCTAGACCTTCAGTTAATCTCTTCAGGATTGGGAGGGCTTGGAAGAAGAAGATCTAGTTATGTTAATAGAGATTCTTTACAGATGCAAATTTTCTCTCACAAGGGATGGCTTTGCAGGGCCATTTCAAAATATGGTCAAGAAACATGGTTTGGGATAAAATATTTTCATTTTCCTCCTTGTCACATAATGTCATGCCAGAGTCAGATTGGAAAGTAAGTCATGACATAATAGGGTTAAATAAAATCCATCTGATGAGAGTTTATGGTTTGTAGGGCATGACTTCCCAAACACTAATAGGGTTAAATAAAATCCATCTGATGAGAGTTTATGGTTTGCAGGGCATGACTTCCCAGACACCGTAGATAAGAATTTGGGCAAGATGAAAAACAAAACAAAACAAAACAAAAAACGAGAGCTTAGTCCTCATGCTTATTGCATGGAGTGCAAAAAGCGTAAATTTGCCTTGATGTGTGCATGCTTCCTGAAAAAAGGGACAGAGTTTTTGAAAGAAAATGACGTATGCCTTATTTGTTACTGTTTAAATGGTACCCTGAAGCTAGGAATTCATGATACTCACAGTTTCCTAGAAAAAGGAGGCAGTGCGTGCCACACATGGCCACTTGGGAAAGCACCAGGGTCCATCAGAGGCAGAGGGTGCATGAGGAAAATGTGGGTACAAGCTTTTACAGTGGTTTCTGCAGGAAGGAAGGGGCAAGGTAGGCTACATGGGCTTATACTTGGCTAGTTTGAATAATTTCAGCAGGCTCTGGGGTACACCAACTATTCTTAGTTGTCTGGTACTTGGCCCTTGAGGGATCAGGGCAGGGAAATAGTAACCTACAAAAGGGCTAGAAGAGGTGGCTGAACATGTGGGCTCGCTCTGCCTCGGTTGGTTTGCTTTGCAAGGCACCATCCCAGAGGAGTTGTGTACTCTTTCTCAGAACTGGCTATCCTTGAAATGGACTGTCCCTTCAGGGTCAGCAAGACTCCAAGATGTCAAAGGACCAGAATACAGACCATGAAAGAAGTTATTTATAAAGTTAAAAGGAATCTTCAGTTAACTAGAGCTAATTATTTAGAACAGGATCTTCAAACTGGAATGTACCTACACACAAAGTTACTCATAGCTTCAGAGGGATACTCAGGAATGAATACATAGTTTAGGGACTTTTTCAACTTCCACTGATACAATTCTCTTTAATCTGTTTTAGACCCTACCCTACCCTTTTTTTACTCCCCTTTCAAAATTGCCTTATCACACTTTACAAGAGAAGCAAAGATCTTTAACTATCGTGAAATACTGGTACATTACCATGTTGTGCACAAAACCTCCCTGTACATGACAAATGGATATTTCAATATATTTCTGTTCAGCTTGAAAAAAATGAATACTTTTAAGAAAATTGTATGCAAACCAATTGGCTTCCATTTCTTTACTGTCAATACATTGAAGAAATACTTAATTGAGGTTTCAGCTGGTAGGTCATTAACAATATGTTTTGATTATAAATTACCAGGCAATTTTTTGTATCTAACTTTGGAGGAATTCAAAATGTTTTGTTGCATCGTTACAAAGCTTTCTGCCAGTTACATATCTTTAAATGAAACACCCTTGTCAGCACATATACTTACAAAAAAAGAAAAATAGAACTTATGCTAACCAGCATCTCAAGCAATATGTACTATTCATTACTACATATAAAAATTAATTTAAAAAGGAATCAAACAGCCATTTTTTACTATTTAATAGAAGCATTTTGAATAAAAATTTTTCTATCCTTTTAAAAATTATTACATTTAGTAATATACAAATGCTCCAAGTTTATATTAATACAAATCTTAATAGTAAATAAATACAGAAACGTAATATTTATCATCACAGAGCATTTTTTAAATACATATAATTTATATACACATTTTTGCTTCAGTACAGTATGATCAATAAAACACTATCAAGTATAAAATTATATTTCATAAGAAAAAAATTCTGGAGAGAAAGTAAAATACAAAGATAAGGGAGAATAAGTAATATAAAATTTCTGACACTTAAACTCATTTTCATATATTTCTCTGAATGAATGATAGTATCAAATGTCAATTAGATTTCAATGGACACATTTAAAATAGTTAGGTGCAGTTTTATTTTAAAGTGTTAATAGTTGCAATTTGCCAAAATGTACTATTTGCAACTATTTAAATTTTGACAAATATTTTGATGTCAAGATAAATATATGTAAGGATACACATAGGCTTTCAAAATACTTTAACAGGTTAATCAATAAATAACTGTGACAGCCAGTGCTTTACTAAACACTAGCAGTACAAAATCAGGAGTGTGTAGCGGAAAAGAAAAAAAAGAGTTGGAGATATTAGCACACAGGACAGCAAGGACAAAATGGAAACATTTACACTGAGAAAAGGTATTTTAACATTAGAGGAAAGAGGAGGGAAATCAAAGGAGTAAATGAGACCTTTTTTCAACTCATGGAAGAATAATTGGGTGCAAGTGAAGCAGAAGAAAATGAGCTTGAGATTTGAAGCCGAAGTTAAAATTAAACTCAATGTTATTTCATATTAACAGTCTAATTTCAGTTACAAAATGTATCTGAGGCTCAATTTTCTCAAATTGAGAGTCTGTCTTTACACCTTATTAAAGACTGAACATGGTAATGATATCACTCAGCATCTATTAGACTTGATGAATATTTATGGAATTAATGAAAAATTCAAATAATTATGAATATAGTATATTTTTTTCTTATTTCCTATTGGTGGTATACTTTTTTTGGTCACTGTCCCAATTAAAGAATCTTAATTAGGAATTGTTTGTACTAGCTATCACAAATTGGTGTGGACTTCACCAAGTATCTGGTCATTGGATTAATGCCCAGAAAAAGTATGGTGTACTCATCATTTCATATACCTGAACACTTTCCCTTTGCATACAAAGGGAATGCACTGATAGTGCCAACAGTGCCTAGCATGGATGATGTTTTTAGATGCACTAAGATCAAAATGCTTAAGATGTAAATTTTTTGCATCTGTAAGTACAGTTTTAAGGTATATGAAATGTGATATTTGATCTGCTATAAGAAGATCTCTACTCATTACTCTTTGACCTTCAGAAATGCTAGTCAGCCAATAATAGAGTGCAACCATAAACTGATATGTTTGCCAGAATGATAGTTAATAGAGAAGGAGACAGTGTGTTGTCTTATGACTTCAAAATATTAAATATGATTGAAATATTTCTAAGTGTTGCTTCGCAACTGAGAACATGCCTAATCAGAAGTCTGAGATACACAAATATATTGTTTGAAAAAAAGTTATCTTACCTATTACATACTTAAGGTAACTATAATTTGTAATTCGAAGGTGCAAATCACCTTCACAGCTCTTGAAAGAATATACCAGTTGTCAATTTTTGTTGCAAAATCTCTGATACACAAAATATCGTTCTTATGCTGAATTCACAACAGAAAATAGTATTTATTATCATTCCCTAATACTTGATAACGTATAATTGTATTTATATAACTATTTCAAAATACTGAGACTTTTTCATATAAACTTTTCGAATGCCATTGTGATAACTGATGCTATTTTACATTGAAATGCAGTAAGCAAGTTCAGATATATTCACCAGACCTTAAATAGCATTTTCTTCTGAGAGACTTTGACCTGAGCATTATGCTAATGACAAAACCAAGTAATCTTTTTGTTTGCTCAAGGTCACGATCTATACTGAACTCTAGAAATATGTCAAAGGAAAACATATCATTAGGCTGACAATTGGAGACACTATTACGCATTCTTAAGTGAGGGTTAAAGATTTTAAGACAAGGATGGTGTTAAATTAGCCAATCAGATGTTCACAGTTTGTTTCTTTGCTTT
The DNA here is from genome assembly GCF_000001405.40 of Homo sapiens. Lineage (NCBI taxonomy): Eukaryota > Metazoa > Chordata > Mammalia > Primates > Hominidae > Homo > Homo sapiens. The sequence goes on from NC_000004.12 coordinate 179,732,435, forward strand.
ATATCTTCCTGAGGAAAAGTTGCTGTCATTTTATTGAAAAAGTAGGGCAGTTCTCCAGTATGGGAAAATATTAGTTTACTTTAAATTATTTTTCATAAATGCTCTAAGAAATTTAGCTTAGATCATCAATGAATTAAAAATAATACATACTCAAAAGGTTTGTTTTATGCGATAAGAAACAAAACACAGTCCTTTGTTCACTATTACATATTTAAGTGACTCAAACTTAATTCTTTGAAGACTTTCCGTTGTGTGACACAAACATTGCTGGGTTTAAACAAAGAATTAGAGTTTCATAACAGCTTAATTACTTTGCAGGGACACTAGCATCTTCATTAGTCCTTATCCTTTCCATAGACCATTCTTACAACCTTTTCTCAAATAAGTACTCTAGTTTCTTTCAAGATTTTTTTTCCCTCTAACAGTGTTTTGTGAATATTGACTTACTTTATAATCAACAAGACTTTTCAATACCTTTTAAAACCAGATAGTCAAACACTAAAGGTAATATAAAGTGATATATTAAGGATTTAAAGTATAAAATTTAAATTCTGCGGTGGTTTATGCATATCTAAATGCTACAAGAATTTTATCAATACATAATAAATACTCAAATATTAAACAGTTACAGCTACTGTATTAATTGCACAGTTGGTGCTTGAACAGTGTGGGGGTTACAGGCACTGACCCCCATGCAGACAAAAATTCACTTGTAACTTTGATTCCACCAAACCTTAATTACTAATAGCTTACTGTTGACCTGAAGCCTAACTAATAACACAGTCGAATAACACAGATTTTGCATGTTAAATGTATTATATACTGTGTTCTTACAGTAAAGTAAACTAGAGAAAAGAAAATGTCATTAAGAAAATTCTAAGAGAAAACATATTAACTGTTCGTTAAGTGGGAGTGGGCCATCATAAAGGTTGTCATCTTTGTCATCTTCACATTGAGTAAGACAAGAACGAAGAAGAGAAAGGGTTGTTCTTGCCATGTCAGGGACAGTAGAGAGAGAAGAAAATCCATGTAAAAGTGGTCCCACATGGTTCAAAGGGTCAACTGTATATCAATACATAATCTATTAAAAATGTATTATTAGTAAATATTTATTTTATTAAAAATTAGTGGCACATCATACCACATTTTAATAGTAATACATTATCATATGTGCAAACTTGATTGAGAAATTTCTCACAGATTCAGGCACTTGTGAAACTGGATAAGCTAAGAAACTAAGTGTACTAGCCTGTTGTCACACTGCTAATAAAGACAAATCTGAGACTGGGTAATTTATAAAGGAAACGTTTAATCGACTCACAGTTCTGCAGGGCTGGGGAGGCCTAGGGATCTTACAATCCTGATGGAAGAGGAAGCAAAGACGTCCTGCTTCACAAGGCGACAGTAAGGAGAAGTGCTGAGCAAAAGTGGGGAAGTTCCCTATAAAACCATCAGATCTTGGCCGGGCGCGGTGGCTCACGCCTGTAATCTCAGCACTTTCGGAGGCCAAGGCGGGCGTATCACGAGGTCAGGAGATCGAGACCATCTTAGCTAGTACGGTGAAACCCCGTCTCTACAAAAAATACAAAAACTGAGCCAGGCGTGGTGGCGGGCACCTATAGTCCCAGCTACTCCAGAGGCTGAGGCAGGAGAATGGCGTGAACCCGGGAGGCGGAGCTTGCAGTGAGCGGAGATCGTGCCACTGCACTCTAGCCTGGGTGACAGTGAGGCTCCCATCTCAAAAAACAAACAAACAAACAAACAAACAAAACAAAACAAAACAAAACAAAAAAACCCATCAGATCTCGTGAGAACTCATTCATTATCAGGAGAGCAGCATGAGGGTAACCACCACCCCCGATTCAATTACCTCCCACCAGGTCCTTCCTGTGACGTGTGGGGATTATGAGAACTACAATTCAAAATGAGATTTGGGTGGGGACACAGACAAATCACATCACTAAGCAAGCTATGAAAGTCAGAATGACTTTTAAAATTTGTAAGACCAGTTCTCAGCAAGGTGTGCTACCTGGGTAACTGTCTCTTGATCAATGATGGTACAGTCCAGTTACTATAACAAATGTTTAATGTCAGCAATCTTCCCTGTGAATAAGTTAATCAGGGATCTCTTATTAATTTTCTTTGAAACAGATAATTGACTTATTGCAAAACAAACACAGTCTTTAATCTTGATCTTTCTTTTTTTTTTCCTTTTTTTTGGGGGGGGTGGGGGGAGGAGGACAGAGTTTCACTCTTGTTGCCCAGGCTGGAGTGCAATGGTGCAATTTCAGTTCACTGCAACCTCCGCCTCCCGGGTTCAAGCGATTCTCTTGCCTCAGCCTCCCGAGCAGCTGGGAATACAAGCATGTGCCACCATGCCCAGCTAATTTTGTGTTTTTAGTAGAGATGGGGTTTTTCTATGTTGGTCAGGCTGGCCTCGAACTCATGACTTCAGGTGATCCACCCGCCTCGGCCCCCTAAAGTGCTGGGATAACAGGTGTGAGCCACCACACCTGACCCTTTCTTTTTCTTTTTACTGTTTATATAAAGGTTTCTTTAAAAAAAAAATCCCATCATATTATATATTGTGTATGAACACAGATTGTGGAATGCAATTGTAACATCACAGAGGAGAAGGGTACATGCCAACCTTAGGGTGATAGTTTTTTGTTTTTTTATAATTTTATTTTATTTTAAGTTCTGGGATACATGTGCCAGACATGCAAGTTTGGTACATAGATAAATGTGTGCCATGGTGGTTTGCCTCACCTATCAACCCATCACCTAGGTATTAAGCCCTGCATGCATTAGCTATTTTTCCAGATGCTCTCCCTCCCTGCTTCCCAATGACAGGCCTCAGTGAGTGTTGTTCCCCTCCCTGTGTCCATGTGTTCTCAATGTTCAGCTCCCACTTAGAAGTGAGACCATGCAGTGTTTCGTTTTCTGTTCCTGTGTTAGTTTGCTGAAGAGAATGGCTTCTAGTTCCATCTATGTCCCTGCAAAGGACACTGATCTTGGTCTTTCTACTGACTACTCCCACTTAAGAAACTTTGGGTTGAAGTGATTTTTCCTGACTCTTTTTCATTCTTTAAGGAAAAAATGGAAAATCTTTATTTCCTTTTTCTGAGAAAAGTTTACACAAACCACTATTGCTTGGTAAATCACTTTTTTTCAGAACAATTCACGCTATGTCCCTTATTTTCTTATTAATAAAGAAGTTGTGTTAAATAATTGCTTTAAAATCATCACTTGATTTTTATTAGTGTTATTGCAGTCACAACAAACTTGTCTCTTCTGTGCCAATTTAATATTTTTAATATAATGGAAAATTTTAATCATAAAGAAATGTTGAAATAATTTTAAGTGAACACCCATATAATAACCACCTAGATCCTACTGTTAACATATGATGTACACATATTACATGATTTAGCATATATAATCCCATCCATCTTATTTTTTATGCAATACAAGTACATTGAAGAAATCTACATACTTCCACTGAATGTTTCAGTCTTCACAGCATTAACTAGAATTCAATACTTGTTTAGTTTTTTCTTTGAACGAAACATTTTCATACTCTCAAATTCAAAAATATTGAGTGGGCATGTGCTAAGTTTTGACAAATGTATATATTTTTGTTATCAAGATATAAAGCATTGTGATTGCCTCAGAAAGTCTTGTCTTGCTTTATTCCAGCAGGTCACTACCCCTATCTTAAACCCCACTGTTTTTATATTTTCTACCACATCATAGACGGCATTTACCTGTTCCATTCATACAAATAGAATCTTACAATGTGTACTACTTATGTGTAAGGATCTTTTCACTCAGCACAATGCTGGCATTCATCGTTTTGACCAATGTAATGTGTCAGAAGTAATGCTGCATATTGTTCTCTTTTATAAATACAACAATGTGTTTATAGGCTCACCTCTTTATGAACATCTGGGCAGTTTCCAGATTTTAGTAACTAAAAATAAAGTTTCTCTGAATGTTTATGTAATTTTTTGTGCATGTGTGTGTGTGTGTATATATATAAAGCATATATATAAAGTATATATATATAAAGCATATATATAAAGTGTATATGTATATATATGTATATATGTATATATATATACTTTTTCTCTAGTTGCTTTATTTCTCACCACAATGTAAGAGTTCAAGTTGCTCTCCATCTGTATTAATATTTGGTCACGAGTCTTTTTAATTTAAGTTATTCTGGTGGCTCTCATGCAGGATTTTTAGTTATTGATTTTTTTGTTGTTTTATTTATTTTATTTTAACTTATAGGGTACATGTGCACAAAGTGCAGGTTTGTTACATATGTATACATGTGCTATGTTGGTTTGCTGCACCCATTAACTCGTCATTTACATTAGGCATTTCTCCTAATACTATCCCTCCCCCATCCTCCCACCCCACCACAAGCCCCGGTGTGTGATGTTCCCCTCCCTGTGTCCAAGCACACGTATGTTTATTGTGGCACTATTCACAATAGCAAAGACTTGGAACCAACCCAAATGTCCATCAATGATAGACTGGATTAAGAAAACATGGCACGTATACACCATGGAATACTATGCAGCCATAAAAAAGGATGAGTCCACGTCCTTTGTAGCGACATGGATGAAGCTGGAAACCATCATTCTGGGCAAACTATCACAAGGACAGAAAACCAAACACCACATGTTCTCACTCATAGGTGGGAATTGAACAATGAGAACACTTTTGTTGTTTTTTAAATTCTGTTTCCGTATTTGGTAATGAGTTATGCACTAAATGACAAACTTCCACTAATTGACTTGCTATAAAATACTAATATCCATTATCTTTATTTCAAAGGATATTTTTACATGAGTTCCACAATTAATACATCCATATTATACTTCATGAGTGAAAAAGTTAAAACTCTAAAAAGTAAAGAATATAAACAATATCAGAGAAAAATTATTTTATGAATAAAATTATAAAGCACAAATCTTAATATATCAGTGAAGAGTTGGATTAAAACCATTGTTCTTCAGAATTTTCTCTTGCATTTTATTAAGAAATTGATACAAATGTTTCGGAACTCAATTTAGACCAATTCTGAGAAGCTGAAGAATTAAAGTTGGAAAAGATGCTATTCAAAATGAAAGACGACATGAATGATCATGTTAATAGGCATCATTTAATGTGGGTTACTATTTTCTTAATGAGGCAATTGATCAGGAGAAAGTCCTCGGTGAGAAACAGCAATATGGCAGAGATACTTTTATTCTCCACCAGGAATATCCATTTTTCAATTTATTTCTCTGGTAATCTTCAAGAAACATAACCTTGGAAAATCATTCTTAAATGATAGTGTTATATCAGCTGCTTAAACAAATTGCTCCACTATAGTCCATAGGCAAATCTTTACAATAGGGTTGAGAACAGGCTTTATTGCTCAGTGAACAAGCTCCTGGACCAGAAAATGTGTGCCTTGCTTTTAAATCTTTCATAATGTTCTTTTTGCTACTCCTACAGCTAGGGTTTGCTCGTTCTTTTCTTAAAATGCTGTTCCCTTTATTGACTCAAAGATTACTATCTGGCGTCACCTAGACCACTTAACCGTATATCATAATGCCCATTAAACTATGTTTCTATGAATGTATGAAAATAGTACTAAATAATGCTGGGCACAGAGCCTCAGTGCACCTATGTATCAGAATAAGCAATAAAATGTTTTACTGACTAGAGAGGTGGTACTTGAAGACAGGGTTATGAAAGGTCCCCAGTGCCCTCTTTAAGAGAATATGTCAAATGATTTCATTGGATGCTGTTTGCATGTGAACTAACAAAACAGGAGATACATCTAAACGATCCTTCCTCCTGCTAATCTGTCACCCAGAAACACTGAAGTTTAAGAATTTCTTAAGACTCTAATTGTGTCCTTCTATCTTTCTCAACGAGTGAGACAGCAGGGGTCAGGGAATGAATGCAAATATGGGGTGAGTATTTTAAACTATGAGAGCATAACTATTTTAGATTATAACATGAGACTTTTCCAAGCAGGCTACCATTACTTAGTAGTGAAGAGCACACTGCCGCTAAAAATCAGCGAAGAGCTGATGAATATGCAATGCATGAAATTTGAAAGCTAAACACTAGTTAAGATATTGTTTTCTAATTCTTCTGCAGCATTGTCAATATTACAAAACAGTTTAAAATCTTTACAATTAAAAAAAACTAAGTAAACAGTTACCACCTACATTTGAATATTTAACAACCCCCTGAACAGAAAGGCAATTTCAAACATACTCTAAATGTTCTGTCTTAATTTGAGTGATAAAATTGCTAATATCATGCACAAATTTGTGTAATTATTCACATATATGAGAGCATTTACTTAGCATTGAATATTAGGAGATAGTAGTAAATAAAATACAATTCCAAGTTTAAAAGTACTTTAAAACCAGTAATTATTGAAATTGTTATTCTGGTAGTCATTTAATTAAAGTCTCCAAGTACACGGTAGAATTATCCTTTTCTACCACTTTAAAGTTACATGTGACTATATGACGTGTTTTGGTCAATGAACCATGAGAAAAGTGATGTGTACTACCTCTAGACAGAGGTTTTAAGAGCTAAAGGGGGATTTTCTAGAGTCTCCTTCCTCCTACTTTAGTGCCTTACAAGGCTTCAGATATAGCCCCTCCATCTTTCTGCGCCATGTGGGAAGACATGGAGTAGAATGGAGACCCCAGTCAACCCAAGATTTGCATAAAGCATGAGCAAGAAATAAGGCTTTGCTGGGGTTTCTTTGGTGCTACAGCATAACCTGGACTGTCTTGACCGATACCATTAAAGAGATGCTGCTAAAGAAAATGTGACATTGTCTTACTCCTAAATTGGAAAGCAGGGAATAAACAGATGTTGCAAAATGGAATGCGATGATACATATGGCAGAAGATTTGTTTAATTTGTTGCCTTCATTCATTTGTGAAGCAGACAATATACCTAAAGGATTGCAGCTGTAGAGAAAGAGGTTGCAAAGTAGAATGTTATTTCTGTGTATTGATTGATAGGACTGCATTGGATAAGGCAGTATAAAAAGAGGGAATCTAAGAAAGAAGAGGTTGGTTTAATAAAATAAATAAAGAAGAATAAAGTACAGAAATTTAGAGATTTGCCTGACTAGAAGGGGTAAGGATTCTTTAACCCCAAATGATAAATGATGAAATGGAAAAGTTTAAAAGTCAAAGCCATTTAAAATTCAGCCTTGTGGCAAATATTTAATCAATGCTAAAGTTAATAGACCCATCGTTAAAATATCTAAATGAATTAAGATGTTTCAGAGCAGAAACCAAATTCAGAAACCTAGTAAATCCTTTCAATGAAAGAGGTAAGGTAGAGAAAGACTCAATATGGGACTCTCAAATCCAAATCTTAAAAGTCAAGCCACCTCCAATTAAGTTGTGATAAAAGGCATGAGGGAAAGAAAGCAATAAATGTAGTAAATTTAAGAATTGTGTCTAGAAAAAGCTTTGGATGTAGCTTTTAGCACAGGGAGATCAATGAAATAAAATGAAGAAGTCAAGTGAGTTTTAATAGAATTACATTACTATATAAATTAATAAGTAACTCACAAGCTACAACTAAGAATATTTATAACTCCTTGAGAATTCAAAAGATGTTGAACCTCCAACCTTCAACAGTAGGAAAGCAGATGGAGAAAACTGCTCACCTCAAAGAGAAAGTCTTCTCTAATGCTCATATAGTGCGGACAAGAAAAACGATGAAAAATGAAACATATCTCAAAAGGCAGAAAGTAAAGGAACATGGACAATTATAGACTGAGTCCCTCCCAGGAAAATGAGTGTGAAGTTACTGAAGAAATATGAGACCCTACCAAAGTGATGGCCCATCTCCACAACGTCAAGTGGAATGTCGGAATTGCTATGATCCCCATACCACATTTTTCCAAGTTGGGGTGTTCATTGTGGTTGCATCAGCCGTAGTTTCGTCATTTCATATTGAATGTGCAGGGCATCTAATTTCTATTTTTTTTAATTTTTCAATTCATAGATTTCTAGATGAGAAGGGCTATATGCAAATAGATGCAAAGTAGATGATGAAAATGCTAGGCCCCACTCAAGCTCTTAAACTTTGAGTTGGACCCAGTGATTGAATGGAATTTTTGGATTGTCTGTCACAGAGAGTGTGAATACATTCCACATGTAGGAAAGAGAATATACAGTATTTGGTGACAAGAAAGTCAGATTATAATAGTCATTAATATTCCACCTAATATTCCCAGTTCTCCTTCAGTGCACAGATGAGTCTTGGCCTTTCCCATCTCCTTAAAGTTAAGTGACATTGTTTGCCTTGTAAACGAATATGAAAAGAATTGGCAAGCACCTCTTTCAAATGGAATATTTAGAAGTCCATGTACTTTCCCTATACTTTCTTTCCCTCTGCTATTCTTTCTTTCTTTTTATTCTGCAATTGTCCAAACAGTGGCTGCTTTTCAGCTGATGTTTAAGAATAAAGGCTCCATTAAAGAGAACCCCCTCAGCAAATCTGAGATGTCCACACATACCGCATCTTATTGCACTTCACTTCATTGTGCTACGAGACACTGTGTTTTATACGAATTGAAAGTTTGTGGCTAACCTGTGTTGAGCAAGTCTATTGACTCGATTTTTTCCAATGGCAGGTGCTCATATCGTGTTTCTGTGTCACATTGTGGTAATTCTCACAATATTTCAAACATTTTCATTATTATTATATCACTTATGGTGATCTGTGTTTAGTGATTTTTGACGTTACTATTGCAATTGTTTTGGAGCACCTCTAAATGTGTCCATATAGAACAGCGAACTGAATAAATGTGTGTGGTCTGACTGTTCCGCTGACTGGAGTTTCCCTCTCTCTCTCCCGCTCCTTGGGTCTCCCTATTCCCCAAGACAACAATATTGAAATTAAGGCAATTAATAATGCTACAATGGCTTCTAGGTGTTCAAGTGAAAGGAAGAGTCACACATTTCTAACTTTAATTCAAACCTAGAAAGGATTAAGCCTAGGGAGAAAGGCATATCCAAAGCTGAGATAGGCAGGAAGCTAGGCTTCTCAGGCCAGTTAGCCAAATTGTGAATCCAAATAAAATTTCTTGAAGGATATTAAAAGTGATATTCCAGTGAACACATGAATGATATGAAAGCGAAACTGTCTTTTTGCTAATATGAAGAGAGTTCGAATGGTCCGGATAGAAGATCAAGCCAGCCACAGCATTCCCTTAAGCCAAAACCTAATCCACAGCAAGGCCCTAACTCTCTTCAAATCTATGAAGCCTGAGAGAGGTCAGGAAGCTGCGGAAGAAAAGTCTGAAGCTAACAGAGTTTGCCTCATGAGGTTTAAGGAAAGAAGATTTCTCCATAATCTAAAAGTGCAAGGTGAAGCAGCAAGTGCTGATGGAGAAGCTGTAGCAAGTTATTCAGAAGATCTAGGTAAGATCATTGATGAAGGTGACTACACTAAACAACAGATTTTTGATGTAAACAAAACAACTTTTTCTTGAAAGAAAATGCCACCTTGGAGTTTCACAGCTAGAGAGAAGTCAATGCCTGGCTTCAAACTTCAAAGGACAGGCTGATTCCCATTTGGGGCTAATGCAGCTGGTGACTTTAAATGAAAGGGAAAAGTCCAGATGAAAACAATGAGATTCCAAATTTTACCTATGAAAACAGAAAGCTTTTTAAATTCTGAAAGGTATTGTTTGGTTGATACCCTCATAGACTGGTGAAGACTCCATATTAATAAAGCAAATTTGACAAATTTTATGTAACTCTTCTTAAAAATGCATATCTTGTGACTTTGTAACTCTATTTCTAGAAATGTATCTTTAAAAAATACAGATTTCATGAATAATAACATGCATAAAAAACCTGTAAACATAAACATAAAAAAATCTGTTTGTCCTAAAAGGTATTTGTCGTTGCTACGTATATCATTGTGAGTAACGGAAAGCAGTATGAAAGTACAAAAAGGTGAATGGTTGAGTAATTTCAGCTGTGTCTTCTCCTTGGTTATGTAGTCTTTAAAATTATGTCTATAAAATACTTCAAGAGAATATGGAGAATATGAAAATGTTCTTATTTAATAATTATTAGATATAAGTGGGATAAACAAAATATGAAAAGATTTACTAAACTTTACTATTGGAGGATTGCAGATAACTTGAATTTAATTTGTACACTACTACCAACATTTTCTCCTTAAGCTAGAATCAGTTCCTTAGGAATAAAAAAAGCAAATAAAACCTACATTAATTCTTTCAAAAAAAAGTCAAGAAGAAGGGAAATTACTAGCTTTAATGAAAAAATGAAGAATGTGGCTCTTTTTAATTCTAAATATGAGTGATTATCAATAAGAAGCAAATAGGGGAATGTCCATATGATACAAAATAATTATAGAAGAAATACATCCTGAAGATCTGCTATATTCAGGGGATACATCCTTCTCCTGTAAGCCTCTAAATCACATATATTGAGAAATAGTATTTTTGCCACAGTAGGTTTTTCTAGTGAAATTTAATGTTCTTTTGAAAAAACTGAATGTAATTCCTCAAAAGGGTCTAAAAGTCAAATTTAAATGTTCTAACACTTTACTTTTAATTCTATTTACATGAGACTTGAAGTGTGAAAGAAACGCTTTTTAAAAAATATTTGCTTCATTTTGTTTCACACAATTTCAATAAATTAGTACATAATCCAATGAACACAGTGCTGTTAATATTTTATGTTAAAATATCCTTTGCATCAAAATCAAAATAGATTTAATTAGGAAAGGAATCAAAGAAGTGTTAACATCATTATTTTTGTCAATTGTCTCATATAAAAATCAATGGGAATTAGTTTAAAAAGAAGCATAATATTTAATTAATTACACTAAATTCGAGCTGAGCAGATATAATGGAGCATTTCCTTTACAGAAAAAAAAATTGTAGCAGTTAAACTTGGCATTTATATCTACAGTTTTCAACTGTTTCAGGTACTTCCGCATTTTGCAGGCTCTTACTACATTGGTTTTAATATTTACATTAAAAAACAGAAGAGCAATCACATTTAAAAATTAATGAGAATCTTCTCACCAATTATTTTATAATGTCACCAAAATTTTTAATTAGAAATGACCTTAGAGGTCACAAAATGAGACTGAAAAACTAAGGTTAAATTATTGGTCAAAAGCTACGTTGCAAATTAGAATCCAAGATGGGGCTGAAATTTAGACTCTTCATACTGTGTTCCATCTATAAATCCAGTAATGTAAATTTTTATAAGAGAAAATAGCATGATTTTCCTAGTTTGATTGGTAATCATAGAATTTTCCAGAACTGTGCAGTGCCTATATGTATATCTTTCATATCATTTGTTGAAGTGAGCTGAAGTAAACTACTCTAAATGCTGTTTTAGTATTCAGAATTATTTTTAAATTACATAATGAAAGCAATGCCCTTGATTTCAATATACATGAGGAAGAAATAGAGGTGTTCAATTCCTACAGCATCAGTAAAATAATATCAGTCCTAGAAGTAATTTAGGAAAATAATATAAATATATTATAAAAGAAACATTGCCAATATATAGAAATGAAAATTGGCTTCTCACATTACTAGCCTCTTTGGTAAACAGTGGCATGTTCCTTTGCAATATTTTATTTGCAGAAAATATGTATGCCTACATGCTATTATGTTATTTCATCATTTAAAAATATCATTTTAACATTAATTTTTAATCTAGGATATTAATGATATTTCTTCATTTTGCTAATGAAAAGCAAGTTGTAATTCACCACTATGAATGATATTTGTGGACTGGATTAAGCTATCATCTTTCTATGAATAACTGGTCAGTATATATAAAATTACATGCGATGTCTACACATATATTGACTGAAGTAAATAATGAAAATTACATATTATCAAAAGCATCCAAACAGTTTACGCTTGACTGTTTATATAATATTTATTGTCTGAATAAAAATATAAATCAAATCTCTCTCACTGAGAATATATAGATAGATATTTTACCAGGTGGTTAAATGTTAGGGCATTGAAAAAAAACTGTATTACTGGATTTGAGTCCTAGTTTTGCTATTACTGACTCTGTGACATTTCCAAGTCAATTAATTTATCAAAGTTTTTGTTTCCTCATTCAAAAAATGGGAATTATAACAGTACCTACATTAGGAGGCTGTTGTAAAGTTTCAATGCAATAACACTTAGCAACATTACTGGCATAAAGTAAATTTTTGCTAAATTTTACCAGCTATATTACATAAACGATATTCACATAAAATTTCTATATGACAACGGTAGGCAAATGGTATTGGCTAGAAAACTTTAAAAAGTTACTAACTTCTACATAATGGAAAGGGCAATTAAAAAATAAATACAGCTAACTTCATGTTTCATGAAGTGACAAAATAAAAATTTAAGTGTCATAGTTCACTTGGCTTAATTTGTTTATTCACACTTTGTTCATTCTTCTCTGCTTACCTCAGACACAGTAATCTAAAATTTATCTATATTTTAAATTTGTTTTTCTACAATGTTTCCAGCATCCTCCCCAAGTGTACCTCTTGTATTATCTATCCTATTCTCTGGCACCATTGTATCCTCCACCATCCTGTGCCCCACGTGGGACAGATACCACCAAATAGCCACCTCACTCTGCCTGGCTGCAGCCTTCTTTACCCAGACTCAGCAAACTTCTCAACACGGGCAGCAGGATCAACTGAGTGGAAACTGCCATTCCTATCTTAGCCAGGATATGTCATCTCCCTTCATTTAAAAAAATAACATACATTAGTAGTTCTCACTTAAAATAGCAATACTTCATATAGAATGACAATAAAATTGTTAGCTGTTTTGACAAGTAAAATTAGTCGTAATTCTACTGCAGTTTGATAGCTAATTTTGAATGCATATAATAATAATTAACATGGTTGAACTAATTTACACTCCCACCAACTGGGTATATGCCCAAAAGATGATAAATCATTCTATCATAAAGACACATGCACACATATGCTTACTGCAGCACTACAATAGCAAAGACTTGGAATCAACCCAAATGTCTACCAATGATAGACTGGATAAAGAAAATGTGGCACCTATACACCATGGAACACTATGCAGCCATAAAAAAAGAATGAGATCATGTCCTTTGCAGGGACATGGATGAAACTGGAAGCCATCACTCTTGCCAAACTAACACAGGGACAGAAAACCTAACACCACATGTTCTCACTCATAAGTGGGAGTTGAACAGTGAGAACACATGGACACAGGGAAGGGAACATCACACACACTGGGGCCTGTCAGGGGGTTGGGGGGAAGGGGAGGGATAGCATTAGGAGAAATACCTAATGCATGCTGGGCTTAAAACCTAGATGATAGGTTGATAGGTGCAGCAAACCACCATGGCACATGTATACCTATGTAACAAACCTGCACGTTCTGCACATGTGTCCCAGAACTTAAAGTAAAAAAAAAAAAAAAAGAAAGAAAACCTTAAAAAAAAGTAAATAATTAACATGAATATTGAAGACCTTTATTAAAATAGGCTTCATTTATCAAAATTTGGGGATAGAAAAAGGTAAAGCAGTGTTTTTGTAGAAATTTTTCCATAGAACACAGTTACGGTTGTTGCTTTTCATAAAGGAAGAATAAAACAGATAGAGTACTGTGGTTTAAGATGTACGCTTAATCAGAGATCACTTTGTGCTGGTCCGAAAGACTGGGCAGAAAAATATTTTGCTTTATATTACCCAAGTGTAATTGCCAAGGGAAACAATGCATTAGAATGCATTCCCCCAAATGGATGTTAGGAAGAAAAGGGGCTATGAGAATAAAGTCACCATGTTTGAGGCACCATCCTAGGAGGAAATGGGTCACGTTGGTGGGATTCACCGGCTGCTGGGAAGGAGTGCAGGCTGCAACTAGACAAGACAGGAGTGCTGAGAGTTAAGCAGGCAAGCCTCTGTGACACATAACTGGATGTTTAGATTATGCTGTGAATCCAACGTCGGATTTAAGGATATTCCCAGATTCAGTTATTTGCCCAAAGGGATGCAGCTAAGAAGGGTCACAGAAGGGATCTGAGCTGACAAGGGTGTAACTAGACACACTCTGGATCTAGAGACCACCAGGAAATACCACCTCTTAATAGTGAGAATATCCCACACATTTTCAGGTAACACAGATAATGGATGATACTTCAAAAAAATTTTTTTTTTGGCCAAGTGCTGTGGCTCACACCTGTAATCCCAGCACTTTGGGAGGCTGAGGTGGGTGGATCACGAGGTCAGGCATTCGAGACCAGCCTGGCCAACGTAGTGAAACCCCGTCTCTACTAAAAACACACACACACACACAAAAATTAGCCAGGCGTGTTGGCGGGCGCCTGTAACTCCAGCTACTTGGGAGGCTGAGGCAGGAGAATTGCTTGAACCTGGGAGGCAGAGGTTGCAGTGAGCTGAGATCATGCTACTGCACTCCAGCCTGGGAGACAGTGTGAGACTGTGTCTCAAAAATAAATAAATAAATAAAATAATTTTTTTTTTGGCTTCCCTGCTACCTACCCCTTTATAATGGCCAATGACTAGCGAACATTTATTATTCAAAGAAATTGGTGCAAAGTGGGCTCAATTTGGTAAACAACAACAAGTGGTGTAGGGAAACGGAAATAAGCTGGCCTGGAAAGTATTCTACAAGAAGGGATAACATGCAATTTATTTTTCCCCCAATCTTACAGTGTTGATTTAAAAATTGCCACTGCTCTGTTTTTAAAATACATGCTCCACAGACTTTTCCCTCTCAGGGAAAATAAAAGGGGCCATATGCAAACTACAAAGGAAAGTGCCTGACATAGGGCAATAAGCAGCCACTTAGAAACTCATGGAAAGCTCACACAGTTTCCTAGTGGACAAAGTGCTTAACTCCATTAGTGCCATAGGCTGATTAAATCACCCACATTACATTTCAATGGTGTTTCAGCCAATTAAGCCGGCTCAATTCATCTCTGCTTTCTGGGGTCATAAAGACATTAGAATCAAATTTATGAACAGGCCTGTTAGTGAAATGGCTTGTAGAGTTGTTTTTAAATCAGGGTGGCTAAATGAATTTTTTAAAAAGTTTAAAATGGTCCAAAACAAGTAAATTTTTTTTAAATATTCGAAGTCACCATGATATGGCCTTAATTACATTCAGCAAATGCTTTTCCCCTTCTTTCTCGAGGCTGACTTGGAAAGCAGTGAATGGAGGAAATCAGCCAACTGGAACAGAGGAAGAAATAAGCTGAATTCATTTTCAGTCAGGTGGCCTCATTGTGGAACTATCTTCTGGTAGCACTCAGTTCTCCTGAATGATGATGCCACCAAGCAGCACATGGAAGAGGGCAGATTTGATCCCAGAAGTAACATGCATCTAGTAAACGCCATTTAAACGATTAGGTTGTGCAATTTCTAGAATGATAGAGATACTGCTTCTGATATTCCTGCATAATTCGTCAAGCTCCGCACAAAAACACCATGAGATCTTTGACCAAAATGAACACAAAGAACTCATCAGGTATGAGTAAATTAAGTGTATGTAAATCGACAGCAGCAAATGCTTCATGAGTAAATAAATTTCTATTTCATTATGCTGAATAGAACCAGGAGTATTTATTGTTCATGATACAGTTTATCAAGGGTTTAAAGATACTTTATATTGAAGGAACTAGATTTTGACTAATTTTTAATAAGAACAATGACTGTACAAAAAATGTATATTTTTAGACTGAACTCACCATCAGGTATAGGAAAATGGCAAGTCTAGGGTCAATCATTAGAGCTGCCTCTCATTTATCATAAATGATCACTGGATTCAATAGCCATCCTGATGGTCTTAAAAATCCACCTGCCCATAATTAGTTAGAGTGTACGTCTGTCTGCTTGCAAGAGGGACTCATTTCAATAGTGGCTTACACAAAAGATTTTTTTTCTGTTTAGTTTTTGTTTGATGTAACACTACACAGATAGTAAATGCAAGGCCAGTATAATGGCTCTGTTAGAGAAATGCACGCAGGGACCAGTCGTCTTCTATCTTACTGCCCCATTATTTCTGCAATTTTTCTCTTCAAGCGTTGTCCAAGTTGGCAAAGTGCATTTCAGCCAGCAGAGAGGATGAAAAGAACAACCCTTAGATTTAAGAACACAAGTCAGAAGACGCATATTTCATTTGCATTCACATGTCATTTACGTAACTTAGTCATAGTAATATACCTGATTACAAAGGTGAATGGATAATGTTGCACTATTCTGGCCAGTTTTATACTCAGCTAAAATTTCTATTGGCTTGGAAGAAGGGGAGAATAGATAACTGAGAGGTCACTAGCAGACTCTTCTATAGATGGGAAATACGTAATCACCTTAAATAGGTAAGTAACAAGAAAATATCCTTCAGGAAATCAGCAGAGGAAGAATTTCACATAGTATACGGGGCTCAATTCCTATCTAGTTTCTAGTCATGAGGTGTTGAAAAGTGCGTCTTCTGATAAAGCTGCAATCTTCAGTGCTCCATAGACTAACCACCAACAAATGCAAACTGACACTTCTGAAATGAATTAGTGTGCATATCAACAATCTCCTAATGGCTTTCATCCTTTCTATCGCTTTTGACCTTGCCTTTTGGAGGCATTTGATAAATGATTAATTATTCATTCTAGAACTTGATCCTTGAACAACTAAACTACTTCCCGGAAGCAAATACGGATGTGTATTAGGGTATCAGAATCAATCAATTATTCACTGATGGTATGCTTTGTATTTGTCTAGCCTGTGACAATCTCTAAGTTAGGTGGTCTGTAAGATATAAAAATAATGGAATACATGGTCTCTGACCTCAAAGGAGTTACCACTAGAATGAAATAAATACTAAGCAGGATGTGTGGGCTGGATTCTTATGACTGACTGTATTATCTGTCTTCAGGGTCTTCCACTCAATTCTGTGAGCCTGGGCCAAATTACAGAGTACTGAAGAAAGAAAGAGGATTCAAAACAAAACAAACTGAAAAAAAACGCCCTTCAAAATCTGAAAATGTCCCTCATTGAAAACTGTGGTGGTATTGAAGGAAAAAGAAAAACACCACAAGACCTAAATTTGAGATTAAGATTATAATTTACTGTTATAATGCATACAGGAAGAAGTGGAGAAGAATATATACAGCTCAGATATGAGTGTCTTAATGAGTTACTGATGGCAAGAAAAAGACAGAATATGAGTATTACATCCTGGGGATAGAAGAAAGGGAAAATCGGAATACAGAAAAAGGAGGCTGAAGGCAGAGAATTATGGCTCAGAGAGGAAAATTCAGCATGGGGACCCAGGACAGTTGGTCTGTCAGTTCCAAATCAGGGGAAAGAAGGGAGGGAAAGTCCAGGTTTGTATTTTCTGAATATGGTAAATTTTCATTCATGGAAGGATATATACTAAGTGCATAAGATCTGTAGGTCTTTGATAGATTGGAGCATATCAGGAGTTTCCTTGTTCCTTTGACTTTAGAGATTTTTTTTTGTTTGTTTGTATGTTTTTAAAGACAGAGTCTCTCTCTGTTACCCAGGCTGGAGTGGTGCAATCATGGCCTACTGCAGCTTCCACTTCCTGGGCTCAAGTGATCCTCCTGTCTCATCCCTCCCAAGTAGCTGGGACCATAGGTGTGTGCCACCACACTTGGCTAAGTTTTTATATTTTTTTGTAGAGACAGAGTCTCACTATGTTGCCCCGGCTGGTCTTGAGTTTCTGTGCTCAAGCAATATTCCTGCCATGGCCTCCCAAAAGGTGAGGGATTACAGGTGTGATGGAATTTTACAGGTGTGAACCACCACATCCGGCCAGAGATGCTCTTTTACATGTATTTACATGGAACAGTTATGTCCACATAGCTTGGCATTTTGAGAAAAGGCCAGGGGTCTCTTTTGGGTAACTAGTTCTCTCTGTGGTCAGGAGCAACAGCTGGTCCCACCATGATGTAAGAAAACCATGTGAGAGAGGCAGAAAAGGGCAGTTCTGACAGACTGTAGGATTAGCGGGCTTTTATTACATCCCCTTTGTGACTCCTTCTGAGTTGCTTCTTCTATGAACTGCTTGATATATAAGGTTTGGCATGATGCCTGGTATAGCAGGCTCACTGGTGAGTTTAAGATAAAGGTTGTTAGACTACATGCTGGGTGTTGTATGATGATTTACGACGGTGTTTGGAGACAGATGTAATGTACTGCCACAGAGATAGCGTTGGTCATTTGAGAGACAAAGTCACATGGCAGGAGATGGTGAGAAAAGTAGACGTTCAACAATGTAAAGATGTTTAAAGAATTTTATAGCAAAATTAACTGAACAAATTCTAGGTCTGTACCAATGGTTGAGTCTTGTTTGCGGCCTCATTTGGTCTGCTAATAATGCCCTCTTATTGACAAAGCTACTAATACGATACAAAACTTAACAATTCTTGTTTAGATTTTAAGTTCAGCCAGCAATTTAAAAACATTTTTAAACATATCAAATTTTAACCTTTGCTTTAAAGACTTTTGAAAAATACTTGGTCTCATTTTAAAGGTTTAGTTAATTAAACACCTTTTACATTTCTAACTGCACTTAGAGTTTAGATTGCTATTTAAAGCACTAAATGAATCAAACAGAGCCTTCTTGAGCATTAATATTTATTTTTAAATTATCTCTTGTCAAACTGTGTTTAACTCTTTAAGGAAGGAAATAGCAAGATGATGAAGTTGTTTCAAAACAGTGTAGGATATATAGAAGTATACATAATTACTGACAGAAAAAACCTGGAATAAAAATGTAAACTTAAAAAATTGATCAATACACAACAGGGCAATGCAGCTATGACTTTGTGTTCTGATCTTTTCTCTTGGACAGAGGTTATTTGGATGTCTGTAAGACAAAATTCACTTATGTCACTCTCAGACAAGAATCTGTTGCCTGGCTATTTCTTTTCAACTAGTTAATCTTTATCCTTACAGAGTTGTAAAATGCCTTAATCAATAGTAAATGATAAGTAAAACAAGAATACGTACTTATAAAGAATGAGATAATATTTGGATATTTGGATCTCTTATTAGGCAATGACACAAAATGATAGTTCTCCCTTTGCCTATTTCCAAGTTTTGGATTTTTTTTCCTTAGTGTACCACTCCTAATGATTTCAACCAATCTCTAAAGATTTTTTTTAACGTTTATTTTAAGTTCGGGGATACATGTGCAGGTTTGTTATATAGGTAAACTTGTGTCATGAGGATTTACTGTACAGATTATTTCATCACCCAGGTATTAAGCCCGGTACCCATTAGTTGTGTTTCCTGATCCCGTCCCTCCTCCCACCCTCTCTCCTCCAATAGGCCCCAGTGCACATTGTTCCCCTCTCTGAGCTCATGTGTGCTCATAATTTAGCTCTCGCTTACAAGTGAGAACATGTTGTATTTAGTATTTTGCTCGTGCATTAGCTTGCTAAAAATAATGGCTTCCAGCTCCGTCCACGTGTCTGCAAAGGATGTGATCTTGTTCTTTTTTGGAAGATTTTCATTTTTATTTAAAAAGTTGCCTGATCTCACTGTGTTTTGGTCTGATTTGTTTACATATGTGCAGCAGAAGGTGCTGGTTGACATACTTTGTAATACGGTCAGCAAATCAAAAGTCACATAGTGTTAAATAACTAAGACCAAAAAGGTAATTTCTATTTAGAGATTTTGAAAGAAACTGGGGATTGGATTTTTAATATGCTTTATTGTTCTAGGGATTTATTAGCTCATAGTAGTAGTATTAATATTTGCTCTTATATTAAATGCATATGAGACCAAACCCCAGAAATTCATTTTCAACAAATTTTATCTGCAGTATCAATAAACGTGTTTGAAATCCCCCTCTAAAATCTGCTAAGTAATTTACCTGATAGAAAATGACTTATCCTCTGACGTGTAAGGCTGGGACACTGTTAGTTACAGAGCTGTACCAGACCATTTGCCTACGAGGGCTTTCTAGTCATTGGTTCCAGACAAAAAGTACAGCCTTTGCTTTTTAATGGTTTGCTTTAACACCTGAGTAAATAAAATTTATTCTCAAATATGACACTCCAGAAAATTCAAACACAATTTGAACAATTGATTTGTTAAATTGCATCCTGATTTTCAAAGCAGGGGACTGATGCTTGTCGTATTAATTAAATCACCACAGTGCCATTGAATGTGAAAAAAATCAGAAAAGTGTTCGTTCCTGATTTCCTTAAATATCATCAAAGGGGATAAAAGAGCTTTCAAAATAACATCAACAGTATACCAAACAAATAACCATTATTAACTTTTCTTTTTCAGTTCTCTCCTTCTTACTTTGTTGATTTTTTGTTCTAAGAGATTTTGGGCCTATAGTTTACTTTTATGAAATCTTCTGCATCTGTATAAAAATAAGTTCTGTAATTGTTGACTCAGTCCTGTGTCACACTCTGACATTTGTCTACGTTATATCAGCCCAGAAGCCAGTATTATTAGTCTTTCCTTGAAGTATTAATAGTTAAGACTCGCTAACATAGTTCTATCCATGAAGCTCTGAGACTGACCTTTGTAGCAGAGCAAATGTCTAGCCTGCTGTAGCTTTTAGCAGAGCCTCTGAAAAGCATGAGAGAAGAACAGAAACCACTTATAGATAATAAGACTTGATGACTGTGTTTAATTTATTACAGTAACCAAAAACCTCAAGAGTGAAGAAACATAAAAATACTTTATCATACGTACAATAAATAGTTGGTTCAAAACAAATTGATTAGTGTTTTCTGGAAAGAATGAGAAACGTTTAATGAACACAAGGTTACTACTAAATATTCAGGACCTTCCTCTGAAATCCACAACTTCTGTAACATACTTATAGTAATAATAATTTGCCTGAGCAAAATTGATCTAAAAGAGGGTGAGTTTCCCTTTTAATGTGATTGCTCTTTTCATAAATTAGCCAATGTGTTGTTGAACTAAGTAGAAACATGGAGCATACCAAAAAATAATTTCTAGCACTCCTCTTTTTTATCAGGTTGGTGCAAAAGTAATTGGTTTCTGCCATTACTTTTAATGGTAAATAATATTTGGTTTTCCAGAGACCCACCTGGAAATCTTAAATACAGCTTAAATGTAAAAAACATCTTGACTTTTTTTTTCTTTTTTTAATTTAGGAATTATTTTAGGGGACAAAATTACAAGCATTAATGTGGTTAATGTGATTAAAATAATAGAATATAATTTTTTGAAAGCAATGAAAGGTTTTAGATTATTACCTATAAATATGAGGAACAGTATAATATCTAAAATTACAAATATAAGAAAGTATCGCCATCATAATAAATGTTATTCCTTTCTTTCAGAAGTGAGAAACTTTTACTCAATTATTTTAAATAATCAAAGATACTAAAAAGTTGGCATAAAGCATAGAAAGTTACTCTGGTGAGATACAAAATTTCTGTCAACTAAAAAGATTGCAGAAAGGGGACAGATCAACTTTTACTATCCTTTGTTATGAGCAGACTGGATGTTCTAACACCAATTTATCATTTCAATAAGCAAAAAACAAAATTTTAATTTTTCATTATTATGATTTGTATCATTAAGTATTCATATATTCTTTAAACGAACAACTCTATCAAAATTGAGCACACGGGCTAAAATTTAGCCCAATTTATTGTCTTTTCAGACTCATTGTTTGTCATTATTATAAATGAAGGTGAATGAAGTTTCCTATTTGTATGCAAATCTTCTACAACCTCCTAATTCCATTCAAATTTTATGAAAAAGTACATTCCTTACTCTGCATACATGTGTTTCTGTGCAGCTTCTAATATAGTCTAACTCACACTAGCTTAACTTTTAAGCAAAGTCAGTAACTCTTATTTTGTTACAATTTTGACAACTGAGAACTGTCTCTAAAATATGAGGATTTCAGAGGCCAGCAAAGTTCATGAGCACAGATAGTAACGACCCACAGCCACGTACGTACCAGTCACATCATTTAAACAGGTAAAAAATAAAAGCACACTTGTTAAAATAACCCGGAGGCATAATGATTTTTTAATATAAAATATGAGAAAAATATACAATGTATGAGATTATATACGTATATACACGTGTGTTTGTATGTGTGTGTACGTGTGTGTAATGCTTAGTAACCAATGTTTTAATAGTCAGTCTTACTTGAAAATTATCCAGGTATTCTTAATTTATTCATCAGTTAAATCTATCACTATCAGTGCAAAGTTGCAAATTTATCTCATCTTAGAAATTTAATATGACACGTTACATAATATAATTACTCGATACTGAAAATTTCAGAATCATAATTCAAATTTTATGGAACACAAGTTTACATTTTTCCTAATTGTAAGCATTGTATGGAGGTAACATTAACTTATCTGGTGAGTAAATAAGAAGTTGTATAAGCTCAGATTATTTAGTCTTGTCATTTTCAAAAAGCAAATTATATTTTAAAAAATATGGAAAGTATTCCTGCCTTATACGTCATGGATAAAACCAGAGATTTGCCTAGGGATTTATTTAGTTTAGATAAATATGGATTGATATATCTAAAAAGTGAGAGATGGTTACAAAACAACAACAAAAAACTACTTTTGAGCTGACAGTATTTGTGAGAATAATTTTTCTACTTTTATAGCTAGCATATACATTTTAGTTTACATTTTTCCAGGAATATTTGTGTTCCTCTATATTTGATATATATATAAACCTATAGTTCTGCAAAGCAATTAAAACAGCAATTTTATTTAAGAAGTCTTATAGTGTAATTTATTGAAATATTCCAGAGCTAGGAAATATTTCCAATTCACATAATGAGAAATAAAAGTTTTTTTCTCAATTATAGAAACACAAAACATACAGAGATTCATATTTGCTTTTACAACTTCATAGTCAAAGTGAACACAAAACACAAAAATCACTCCAGTTGAGATTTCAAAATGCTGTCTCTTTTCCAGTGTGACATGATATTGCATCAACACAAATGACTGGGGAGCAGATTCCTTGTCACCTCTTGCCTGCCAGAGAAGAGATCTGTATTGCTTCAAGACAGAGATGGTAGATTAGCCAGACAATGAAGCCACATTCTCAGCCATTACTAGGGAAATGGCCATGAGGAAGCCAGATTAGATTCAAATTTGGCCACTATCAGAAACGGTAGCCAAAAAAAAAAAAAAAAAAAAAAAAAGAAGCAGAACCAGAAGAAATGATAGGAAAAAAACAGTTGCTGGAGGTAGTCTCATCATTACTTAGGATTCATTTCAGAGACCAAAAAAAGTATCTGAGCCTAAGAATTCTACATCTTAACCAAGACCATTTTAACGGCATCAGCAGCCGAATCCTCATAGGCATTTCAATAGGATGTCCAACAACTGTCAAAGGTAATTTTTAAATAGTTGAAAGTGTAATTTTCTTACAAAAGTAAACTAAGCATGTGCCAAGGATTTCTTGAATTCAATAATGAGGGAAGCGGCAATGTGGGAAAGCTGATTGTTAAATAATTTTTATAAATTTTATAAATCTCATTCATAAAGTAGTGTACCCGAAGAAGTTTTAGTTCCAATAATGAGTATAAATTGAATAAGATTTTACTTAAAATAATTAACCAAATAAATTGCTAAATTTTGCATCTTAAATTGAAGTTACAGAACTGATATTCTAACAAGGCTAAATTATATTTAATATATATTATATATTATACTATATAGTATATATTGTAATATACTGTATATAGTATATATCGTATGTAATATATAATGCCAAATATGTTTATATTACTTCTTAAAACAAAAATTAATAACATTCATATAGCCCATATGTGGGCTCAAATGTAAACATAACCTAAATTGTTTTGCCTATTTTATATATTTTCTGCTACCAACCAAATTGATCATTTAATAGAATAGAATTTTCATTTCCATTTCATATATATATTTATGTAATTGTCTTTTAATTTTTTTTTTTTTTTTTTTTTTGAGATGGAGTCTCACTCTGTCACCCAGGTTGGAGTTCAGTTGTGTGATCTCAGCTCACTGCAACCTCTGCCTCCCGGGATCAAGTAATTCTCCTGCCTCAATCTCCCAAGTAACTGGGATTATAGGCTCGTGCCTCCATGCTCAGCTAATTTTTGTGTTTTTAGTAGAGATGGGTTTTCACTATGTTGGCCAGGCTGATCTCGAACTCCCAAACTCAAGTCTTCCTCCTACCTTGGCCTTCCAACATGCTGGGATTACGGGTGTGAGCCACCACGCCTGGCCTTTAAAATTCTAACTCTAAATATTTTTTAAACTTGATGGGATAATAAAGTATACAAATATATATATAGATTAATATTAAAGACTTTAGATGTTGCTGGAAAAATGCATGCTCTCATATTTCTACCATGCAAAACTAAGAAATATTTGAAATGATATTCAATTTAATTTTGGCTTACAACTTCGAACTAGCATTTAAATTAGTTGTCTGCAATTTACTTTAAAATATTTAGGCATAGGCAATGTTATTTTAGTACTAAACTGGGTAATTTAAAATAAGCCATAATTCCACTTAGTTGTTTTCTCTAGGAATTCAAATTTGAGGTGGAATTAG
This sequence comes from Homo sapiens, assembly GCF_000001405.40. Taxonomy (NCBI): domain Eukaryota; kingdom Metazoa; phylum Chordata; class Mammalia; order Primates; family Hominidae; genus Homo; species Homo sapiens. The sequence continues at coordinate 179,757,113 of NC_000004.12, forward strand.
CCGCTTAGAAAGGCTAAGTTCCAAAGGTGACTACGACAAGCATATCATTTCTCTTTATCTCTGATTAACATCAGATGGTTTGGCTTAAATTAGAATTATTTGTTTTGCAATAACATGTTTGTGTAATACAAATAGTTTATACTATTATCAAATAGGGAATGATGTCACTTTAATGTAGAAATTATATTAATTCAGATATGAAGTTTCCCAACTTGTTCATTATGCACCACCAAACCACAGCAGGTGGACATCAAATACACTAAGACAGCTACATAGAGCAAACTGGAAAAATACAATGCTGTATGTGATGCTTGGTCAACCTAAATTGTTCCTCTTGGCTCTGCTGGGCCTCATGGTCTCTCTTGGAAATTTTTATTATAAATTGTATAAATAAATTGTTTTTATTATAAATTATATCTGCTCTTTTTGCATCTTGCTCTCATCTAACATAACTCAGCAGCCTCAACCCTTCTTTATGCATTTTTGAATGAAGTAACTTCAACTTATTTTTAATCATGAATGAAATCTTAATATATTCAAAATATCAGATGTTAGGAAAAATGAACAACTATATGATTTTTTTTTCTAAATAAGTCAGAGGTAGTCTATTTCTTTTCTGGTTACACTAGATTAGTTGCTTTTATTACTCAGCAATATTTAATGCTCTCTGTTGCCCCTCCCTCTTTTTCCGAAGAGAGCTCTGTTTAGAGTAATAAAGTTTCTTATCTGTTTCTTGGCCTATGGCTTATTTTTATCAATATAACCCTTAAACTTTCTGTGGACAATTCATAGCAGCATAGCCTAGGATTTAATATCACAGACTGTGGTCAGACTGCTTGAATCTTGGCTGCAACACTTACTGATTGCTTCTAGGATGGGTTATTCAATCTCCTCTGTGAGAATATTTTACATTAAAATATAATTTCTTTAAATAATATAGAAAAATTCAGGAGCTATATTTTTCTTGATTATTTGTTATTTGGGTTTTTCAGGGAATTTTTCTACTTCAATAAAGTTAAATTTGCTGAAAAATGATTCAATGTATCCCCTAATCTTCTAATCTCCATGGGACCTATAGTGATGCCCCCTCTTTTTTGTGTTATTTTTCAGCAATTGTTATTAATTTTTTTGGTTTGTCTAACAAGAAGTGTAATAATATTGATTATTTTTAATCAATTAGCTTTTAGATTTATTGTTTTCCTGTTCTTGTCATAATTGTTTTTCTCTTCTTCATAATTTATTTATTAATAGTTTTATCTTTATTAATTATTATGCTAATTTTGACTTTAATTTTTTCTTCTATTTTTAGTTTAATCAGGTTGAAGCTTAGATCCTTGATTTTAAAACTTGTATTCTTTTCTAGTATAATCTCATAAACTACAAATTTCCCTCTAAGTACTGTTTTAGCCTCCTACAACAAAGTTTAATATATTCTGACTTTAAGTTGAAAGTATTTTCTAATTTTCTGTAACACATGGTTTATTTTAAATCGTGTTGTTTGATTTCCAACTAATTAATTTCTAATTTAATTTTATTAAAATCATAGAGTAATGTTTTCATCCGATCAAATTTTCGAAATGTGTTGAGACTTGTTTTATGCTCTAACTTGTTGAATATTCCCTGCCTATTGAGAGGAAAACATTAAAATCTAGAAGAATAATTGAGGATTTGTCTATTGACAAATAGACAATAAGGTTGTGTCTATTGTGTTTTGGAGTGTCAGATTTTGCCTTTTCTTCTTTTTTTAATCTCTGTTTTCTGTTAATACATATTTAGGATTGAAAAATATCTTTATATTGCAAATACATTCACTCCTATTGTAATATGGAATGCCCCCTTTATCCCTGGTACCAGTTTTTGTTATAAAGTCCAGTTTGAAATTAGTTTAGCCCTATCATCTTTCTTAAAACTAAGAATATATATCATATCATTATTTTGTCATTAATTTTACATTTTAATCTTGTTATCGAGTCTCCTTAAGTAAATTGTACTTGCTTTCTCTTAACTAGTTAGTTTCATTGTATTGAAAATGAACTTATTTTAGAAAGAACGGTTTGGAACTTGTATGTTTACTCATTTTTATGTTTTCTAACTTTTAATCGTTTGGACCATTTATATTTAAAATAATTTTCCATATATTGGGATGTATCTGTAGATATGGAGATTTTTAAAACTCTTATATGTTCTTTGTTCATTTACTCCTCTTTTCCTGAGTTTATTTTTTAGGATGGCATTTTATATTCACTGTTGGAATGTTTGCTTATGGTACTTTGATTTTTAAAAAATATTTTGTAGTGTTTAATTGTAGGATTTACATTAAGCGTGTAGCCTATTTCTATAAACTATAACAACACTTTACACATAAGTACCACAATTATCTAGGTGCATTGCTTCTCCTATCACTATGTCACATAGTTTACTTCTACACATTGTAAACCCCAAAGTATCTGTTATATTTGGTTTAAACAATTATATTTCAAACAAAATGAAAATATAAAATATTTTATATTTATTCATAAATTAACCATTTTTGTGTTCTTTATTGCATAGATCCGTTTCCATCTGGCGTCATTTTCCTTCAGCCTGAAAAACTTGAGGTAGAATTTCTTATAGCTCAGGTCTGCAGATAAATATTGATAAATCATACAGATTTTTTGTCTTATCGTTATTTTGCCTTCATGTTAGAGTTTGCTGGTTTTATAATTTTAAGTTAACTTTTTTCAGTATTTTAAAGCTTGCCTAAATTTAAAAGAGACTTGTGAAAATGTTCATTTTTGCTTCTCATTACATATCTTATGTGTGTGTGTGTGCATTTCTTTTCTGCTTTATCATTTGTTCTCAATAAGTTGATTATAAAGTGACTTTGTGTATTATTTGTTAGTTTTTGTATTGCTTGCAGTTTGCACTAGTTTTTGGTTCTCTAGGTTTGGGGTTTTCATCAAATTTGAAACATTTTCAGATATGATTTCTTCCAATATATTTTCTGCTTCCTACCCCTTTCTAAGACTTCAATTACATGTGTGTTATTATTTCATAAGCCATTTATGTTCACTTTGTTTTCTTTCTTTCACTGTGTTCTCTTCGTGCTTCATTTTGGATATTTTATGTTACATTGTTTTCAATTTCTCCAGTTATTTCATTGAATCCACTTAAATCCCATTTAGAGAAGTTTCATTATGTATATTTTATTTTACATCTCTTTTAGAGTCTTTGCTATTTCCATCATCCTTGCCATTTATTTATTTTTTATTGTCAGATTTTTCTCCTGATATGGGTCATATTTTCTGCTGTTTTAGCAAGGATGTTGAACATTGTTCATTCTGAACTGTTAAGTGCTGGATTTTGTTATATTCTTTCCAGTTTGCTGAACTCTGTTCTAGTAGAGAATTCCACCACACACAATTAGTTTTAGCTTCTTTTTTTTTAAGTTATTTATTCGTTCGTGTTTTGGTGGGGTACAGGAGCATTTTATTTTCAGACTAGGCCTATTTTAGTCTTACTGCTAAGGTCCAAGTATTCTGTGTTCTTTACTGTGTACCTCTGGTATTCAGCAGATTCTGACCCTTCTGGCCTTCCAAACGCTGAAGTTTTGTGTTAGCCTGGGAATTGCTCTTTCTCTAAATTTTTCTTGCTATAGTCTTTATGGAATTTAATTGAGGGCACATGCTGATTGGCATTTAGCCAAAGTCTCACAGACCTTTAATTTCCGGAATTGTTTTTCTCTGTGGAGTTGTTTCCTCTCGGGTATTTTAACTCCAAAATTCTAGCTGCCCCAAACCTCCTTGAACATCAATTTCAGTTTCCTTAATGCAAGTAGACTTGCTGAGCTTGGTTTGGTTTTCCCCTCCCCACACTACAGTCTTTAAATTGTTCCCCAAGCAGAAAGCAAAACGATCATAGGATTCACTCTCTCCAGGATTACAATGCTGCAGGGCCTGCTGTCCGGTGACTTAGAACTCAAGTTTCCTATATTTTCTCCGAATTTTAGTTGTTTTTAGTGGAAGAATAATTCTAATAGGAGTTACTTCTTCATGGACTGAAAGAAAGTCACCAAAATACCAGACTAATTCAATGTTTGTGTAAATTACAAAAGTTCACATTTTTTGAAGGAAGATATTTTCTTCTTTTTTTCCCCCCCCCAAGACTTGAGTCTTGCTCTGTCGCCCAGGCTGGAGTGCGGTAGTGAGATCTCAGCTCACTACAACTTCCGCTTCCTGGATTCAAGTTATTCTCCTGCCCAGCCTCCCAAGTAGCTGGGACTATAGGCACCTGCCACCACGCCCAGCTAATTTTTGTGTTTTTAGTAAAGACAGGGTTTTGCCATGGTGGCCAGGCTGGTCTCGAACCTCAGACCTCAAGTGATCTGCCCACCTCGGCCTCCCAAAGTGCTGGGGTTACAGGTATGAGCCACCATGCCTGGCAAAGGAAGATGCATTCTTAAGCATAAAAAAATCACATTAGTGTTAAAGCTGACTTTCTTACTTACTCATGGTAAAATATTAGTATTTATTCAGTGTCTATCACTAAACAAGGATTCATTTTAAATGCAAATAATTCTATGCTCTTACCTTTTGCAAATTTAGAGTTACTTGAAGAAACTATTACTTCACTTTTACTTTTTGGTAAGCCTTAAAGTATGGGAAATTGATGGTTGGTTTTTGTGAAACAGATTTCTATTGAAGACAAGCATTAGTTCCGTTAATACTGGTATGACAGTTTCTACTGGAGTGACAAATTTCTTTTGACAAGTTGTCGGGGTGTCCGTCGTCTCTTACGTAGGCTCTCCTAAGGATCAGAAACTTTAATGATAGTGCCAAGAAGGCTGACTCTTTTATTGAGGCAATCCAACCTAGGGGTTTCTGACATCTTCAAAGGTCAGAAAATCAAATGCTGTGTGAAATAATTTAAGGCTGGCATAAAGGGTGACTTCATTGGACTTCAAAAGCAGAACAGAAAAACCTAACAATATAACTCATATTGTACCTGTAAAGGTAGGCAAACCAGAGTAGAATATCAGGGCTCAATATTCAGAAGAAGCAATAGCGAGTGAACAACTGTATAGACTTTTTATTCCTTTAAAATGTTTCCGGTCTTGACTTGAGCATTTATGTTAGGTCACTGTACAGTCAATAGTTTCAGGCCAAGTCTCATCTTTCTATGCATACCAAGACTTCACATAAACAGAATGAGGTTTTCAGATTTTCCCACTAGATATTCAGGGAAAATATACTCAGAATCCATGAAGAGAAAACTATAAACTGAGGTCATCTCTGCTACATTATTCTGTTCTTGCACTACTAATAAAGGCATACCTCAGACTGGGTAATTTATAAAGGAAAGAAGTTTAATGGACTCACAGTTCCACATGGGTGGGGAGGCCTCACAGTCATGGTGGAAGGCAAAGGAGAAGCAAGGGCACATCTTACATGGTGGCAGGCAAGAGAGTGTGTGCAGAGGAACTGCCCTTTATGAAACCATCAAATCTCATGAGACTTATTCACTATCATGAGAACAGCATGGAAAAAACCAGCCCCCATGATTCAGTTACCTCCCCCTGGGTCCCTCCCATGACATGTGGGATTTATGAGAGCTACAATTCGAGATGAGATTTTGGTGAGGACACAGCCAAACCATATCATCTGCTATTCCAATTACAATGTTATGGACCAGGAATCATTAATAGTCTACCATAAAATGATTGGAGTACATGTTCTAATCTAGCCTTAAAATAAGAACCTATTCTCTTTTTTAAGTTTTTCTTCATGAAACTGGCAGGGATGTGTAGTGATATAAGTGTGTGTCTGACTTACAGACAGACAAGCCCCTTTTTACGTTTTTCCATCTGAGAAAACGCTGCATTCTAACACGGATTGCTTTTCAGGTACTGAGCCAGATAAGGCAGTTTCGGGTACCAGAAAGGATAGAAACAGAAAGTAAGATGACTTTGTCCTGTTTATACTCGCCTGGCAGTTTCCTCTGTTATACTCAGAGTCCATATTGCTGCAAATACAAACAATACTATGCCCAGGTGATGCAGTAACATGGACCACAGACTCACATTGTAGGAGCAAGAAGAAAAACTTGGAAACACATCATGAGCTGAAAGGAGAGTGGCTCAACTCCTCAGCCTCCTTAGTACTTCAAAAATATAAATGCTTCTTTACCTCATTGTAAGTAGCACATATGTCAAAGGAGTGGTAATCATTGGAAATTTATCAATAATCCGTATTCTCCCTCCAAGAACTCTCCCTTTAATCAGTGGTCTCTTTTAACATAATGACTATGTGCCCAGAGGTTTTTTCTACCACAGGAAAAGGGATGCTTCTGTCAGGACAGATGTGAAGTGAAAAAACATGTAAGGAAAGCCAAGAAGCCCCAGTTGGTTGATAGAGAGAGAGAGATATGCAGATAGATAGATGATAGACAGATAGATAAGAGATAGAGATAGCTAGATATTAGATAGATTAGATAGATACATAGATAGAGATGATTAGAGAGAAAGAGAGATTCCTCAGGCTGTTTTTTTTTTTTTTTATGAGATGGAGTCTTGCTCTGTTGCCCAGGCTGGAGTGCAGTGGCATGATCTTGGCTCACTGCAACCTCTACCCCACGGGTTCAAGCGATTCTCATGCCTCAGCCTCCCAAGTAGCTGGTACTACAGGTGCCCGCCACCATGCCTGGCTGTTTTGTGTGTGTGTGTGTGTGTGTGTTTTTAGTCGAGAAGGAGTCTCACCATGTTGGCCAGGCTGGTCTTGAGAACTCTTGGCCTCAAGTGATCTGCCCTCCTTGACCTCCCAAAATGCTGTGATTATAGGTGTGAACCATTGCACCTGGCCCTGAGGCCATTTTTTAAACTGGCTGACAGCTACTACCTGCATCTTGATCATATTTCTTCCCAGAATAATTATTTTTCTTCTCCTTTGATTCTACACATAGAGGTTTTCTCAACTCAGTCCCAGGATGATTTTTCTAAAACTTCAGAATAACAAATAATCATACTTTTGATAGCATGACAGCACAAGGTCATGGAACATGGCTCTGGTTTCTTACACCATCTTTATTTGCTACAGTACCTCTTATTCATAGGAACTGATATTTATTGAGCAATAACTATGTGTGAGATGCTGTTCTAGTACCCTCATAACATGTAAAGTCATTTAACACAATAACTTAATGAAATAATCCACATTTCACAGATGAGGAAAGAAGTTAAATTATTGCTTCCACTTTACACAAATATGTGATTATGCAAGGTTTCCTATCCAGGCCATGAGACTGAAAACCAAACTCTGACCCATTATAGTATAATATATCTTTATAGTCTTCAGAGTCACGCATAGTTTTGTGAATACAATATGAACTAAATAAATATTTGTTGAACAATAATTACTGAGGTCAAATAGGCTGTTAATATATATAATTTTTAAATGTTATGGTTAATGTGTATATTACTGGGCACTGTTCTTTAGAATATTAAGAGGTTTTTGTATCCCAAAAAAAGGAACCTAATAACTGTATTAAGAATGACATAATTTTATTTTAATATTATATCAATCTAATAAGGTATGAACAGATGCATAGAACCACTTATTTGAAATTTTCTGTAATACCACATCTAATTTTCACAATGTTATCAATTTAACAGGGACTCTAGAACTCCTGTCACAATTTTATTATTGAACTGCTTTTATATTTTGGTAAAGTACTTTACGTTACTTTCAGTTCCCACTTCTGAAAAAGAAAGATAAATAATTCTTACATAAGTTCAGGAGACAACTCACAGAGAAGTAAATGAAAGACTCTAGGCATTCATAGAATTCTGGAGTTATGCTTGACCTTAAGATCTCATTTATCCTCCTGGGAATCTAGTTTCTTGTAGTTACATATTTTTTCATTTTTTTTTTTTTTTTGCAGCTCCCAATGGTATCTTAAAAACTGCCCTAAGGCATTAAACAAAAGGAAAATATGGACCCTAAACCATTCACAGACCTTTTTTTTAAAGACCAATTGTGATTCAATATGTATCTGTGACTTACAATGACTTATTCTTATATTCTATAATTTAACATGTAATTATTTGTTTTGGCCTTAATATCTCGGTAATTTTTTGTTGTCCTCTTCTTCGTAGCTACCTTTCTCCCCATCATGAGAATTTTCCTGTCAAACCCCTCATGAACATTAAATATGTTTAGGTCTTCCTTCTTGGTTTTATAATACTCTTAAAGTGTCTTCCAAATTTAAATTTCCCTGCCTTCTATTTGCTTTGTCTCATTAAACTAAGGTTCTTGATGAGGTCTTTATTCTCTCCAACTCTTTTTTAGGCTTAGCCTGTGTTTCTACCATTTAGAATGGTACCTCTTGCAATCTACACTTGAATGCCGACCTAGGGTTTATTAATATACTCCAAATTCAATGGCAGTTTATTACATATTTCAGATTCATTAATAATAGACTGTAGACTCATAAACTCCTTTAGCCTTTATTCCAATCCCTCAAAAGGCAAGTCATTTATTGCTAACACCATATGTTGCTTTTTTTGTGTGCCCTTGTAGTTTTTAGTGCATATGTAATGAGAATGAGAGTATAGGATAAAAGAAAGTATACATTTAAAAATTTGGAAACTTAAAAATGTAATGGATGTTATGAGCTAGGAAGTGGTTGAAGGTGAAGATCAAATGTTAATCATAAAAGGCTAGAAAATGTTGAGCTAGATAAGTAGACAACTGATTGTGCCACTAACAGAAATTTTGAATTCGAGATACAAACACATTTAGCAGGAATGATTGTGGTTATGCTGAATCTGAGTTGCTGGCAAATGCAATAAGACATAACTCCTTTACTGGTAGTTAGAAATTTATGACTCCAGAATCAAGATTGACATCAGAGTTGAAGATATAGACCTACACATTTTACAAAGAGATGACACTTGAAGCCATAGAAATAGATGGAATTTTAAAGAAAAGGAGCTTCATGCTTGAAAAAAAATCAATGAATCAAAGGTGGTTATAATGAGAAATGCTGACATGGAAGCACCATAAAGAAAAAAGCTAGAAAATAAATTGTTAAAGACAGAAAGAAAAGCAGAGGTAATAGTATCATAAAAGCAATTAAAATCTTAATCTGAAGTATAAGCTCAAAAAATTAAAACCAGGTTGTCTATATGTACATAGAATTCAAAGTATTTCTGGAAATGATATTTGTAAATCAGTCTATTTTCTTTAAATAGTATTTTAATTTTTTGCATGATTGTAAGCAGGGAAGTGCTGTTACTAGCATCAATTAATGATTTTATTAAACTTCTTATCCTTTATGAGAGATACCTTGGAAACTGAATATTTTTAGTAATTCATAATAAATTTGAAGAAGTTATACCCACCTCCTGGAATGTAAGGAATCCATATGGTCCAGAGTGCCTGATGCTTTAATAGAGGCCGATTCCAGTGATTGCAACTCAGGACCTGAAGAGCCAGAACATTCCCGAATTATATGGGAATCTAAAGAATCAGATGAAGACTAGAACAGTCTAGTAGTCACCTGCCAAGGGCCATGCTGGTGGTGAGAATCTACCTTCCAAATTGAGTTATAGGAATGGCTACATTTCATTGATATTAGGGTCAAATCAAGAAATCCTGGGTATCTATCTTCCCAGTGTCTATTTCTAAACCAGAAATTGACCTTGCAGTTATGAGTTTACGAAGGACACTGTGGGAAGAAGGGGTTTTCCTTTCTGGTTGCGATGTGCTTGTTTGGTAGTCTTCTGCACTGCATGTGGTTTCCCAGTGCCAAGCTCCTGCACCGTGAGCAACTTGTCCAGCATTAGGGTCTTGCCGTGCGGGTGGCTTCTCCATCAGAAGTGCATGAAGGACAGCAGCAACAACTATCTGTTAGCAACTTTTCTCACCCTCCCCTGGGTAGTTTTGCATAAGAGTAGTTTTAGGGCGATAGCTTCCTATAAACAGCCTTCCAAGGCCCTAGAAGGGATTTCCAGCAAGTTGCATCAGCATCCATCACAGCTGATTCCCTGCTGAGTGAGCCATGGTCATGTCATCTCTCACAAGGCCTGGGTCTAAGCCTGGCATGATGGTGTGTGTGGAGTTTTTCCTTGGGTGTTCATGTCAACTGTAGGTTTAGTGGATGCTCCTTGTATCTGATATTCCTATACTCTAGATTTCTCGTTATTTCTTATTAGACATCCCTCATTATTCCAACCTATTGTTACAGTGAATAGTTCTTTATATTTCAGTTTCTCCCTTCAAATTACTGCATAATATCTCTCTCCTGATTGGGCCCAGACTGATATATTAACAAAATGGCATCCTAGAATCAAATTTATGAAACAAAATGATATTTCATTATTAATCAGAGATTATGGTACTTAGCATAATTAGATAGCATAGCTTCTGAAAATCTCTGTCCCACATGGATTATAGATCTAAATGTGAATGAGAAAATAATACACCTTTTGGAATAAAATATCAAGGAATGTATTTATAACCTTAGAAAAGACAAATATCCCTTACATAGAACCATTGCAAAAACCATGAATCATTTAAAAAGACGAATTGTATTAAGTTCAAGTTAAGAACTTTCATTCATCAAGAGACACTATTACATGATCAAAAAAACAAGCTGGCTTCATTTAGTATATACAACATAAAAACTCATAAATCAGTGGAAAAGCTAACAGTCTGAGAGGAAAACAAGCAAAAGACTTGAACATTTTGCAAAACAATCTAGAAACCCAAATGGCCAGTAATTATATAAAAATGCGTTTAACTTCATTAACATTGGGGAATTACCAATTAAGTCAAAATGTGATACTACTACACCTATCAGAATAACTTAAAAAAAAAGACTGGCAATACCAAGTATTGGCAAGGGTATGGAGCAACTGGAATGCTCGTAAACTGTTAGCAAGAACCCAAATTGGCACAACTCTGACAAATTTTTTTGCCTATGACTACTAAAATGAATATATGCATACTAATTACCCAGAACACATGTTTGACAAAAATATGTACAAAAATGTTTATAATAGCACTATATATATTAGTCTAAAATTTAAAAATAGCCCCACTGTCTATCAACAATCAGATGGAAAAACAAATTGCAGTATATTTAAGCAATCAAATATTGTACAGAAATGAGAAATACCACATTATTTTACACACAGAAAGCCAGACGTAAAGCAAATATTTACAAGTGAGCCTTGGTGAATTAACATCAACTTTTGTGGAAAAAAGTATCTGGATCGAGGCAACTGGAGACTTTCGGGTGTTGGTAACTCCTGGCTCTTCCTTGGGGTGCCGGAATGGCAAGTGTATTCAGGTTTTGAAATCTACTGAGGTGCACACTGATGAATTAAACACTTTTTTGGATGTTTATTATATTACCAGAAAAAGTTTTTTAAAAATCCTAAAAATAAGATGGCACTGCCATGTAACGAGAAAATTCCTTGTGCAATTGATAATACATGACTGTCCATTTCTCTGAAGCACTGGAAGTCCCAGGGGTGAAATTACACACTGAATTATTATTAATTCACAATTATATTAATTAATGTTACTTTTTAAAGAGTATTTTAATTGACATTTAGTCTCTTCTTTTGTCCTCTTTTCACTGGGCCTATAAACTAGCCATTTAGTTACCTGCTTATAGCCCGAAGCACTTCATTTCTCACAGATTTGTGTGATAAATAACAACCTAAATGATATTACTTGGAGAAAATTTTATGATTCCCATAAAAATCACCCAGAAATAGGTCATATGTAACAATTTACTAAATGCAATAACAACAGCTCCTGCTTTATACATTCACTACCAAATCCAGATTTTAATGGTAAAGAAGTAAACATTAAAGCATAAATTAAAGCAAAAGTAATAGTAAGAGCTGACACAGGTGGCGGAGAAGAATCCTTTCATTCTGCAATCCTCAGATTATTTAGTTTGAACCTTGGGGCCAATAGAAAGTTGAAGTTTTAGAGTCTCGAAATGCATTTTATGATGGACATGATATGGTGCTCAACTGGTGGATTAATGTGTGCTGCTGGTTGCTATGCTTGCAGTCTAAAGAATGACTCACTGCTTCACTATTTATTATTTATGGATTACATAGTGGGCCAGTAGAGAGCAGGAAAAAGAGAACTTGCAAACTAAAATCAATACAAATAATCGCCTCTCACAAGAGAAATCCCAGGAGGTTAAGCAGCTCTCTCTTGTCTTTCCTTGACACATCTTTTTCTCTCTGACTTTTTTCCTTCCTCTGTTTGCTCTAAAAAAAAATTCTCTATGGAGGAGTGTTTCACTGTTTTGCTCCATTATATTGTTGGTAAATAATCATTATTAGCATTTTTTTGGCCCTGCATTTCCCTAAATGATCCATTCTAAGTTAAAAATGGTAGCAGGCAGACTACCCTTTAATTAATTCTATAGTCTACTACAATGTGTAGAAAATAAATGTTGGGCAGTGTATGTCATTCCAGATGAGGAAGACAGTAAACTTAATGAATAATCAAATATGCTAACATTATATTTTGCTCTTCCTAATACCCTTGTGAGATTTTATTTCCTTCCTACTAATTTTATTAAAAGTAAGTTTACATAATGAGGTCAAATAAATCTACAGAATGTACCTGTGTCATATACACACATGATTTTGATCAGGTTTCCATGTAAACTCATAAAGGATTTCATTTTCCTGACTAGCACTAGACAAATTATGGTATCACATCAATGTAAATAGTACCTCAGTATTAAATATAGCATTAATAGAATCAGAATAAAATTTTAAAGTGTGCAAATACAAAACATATTATTTTGAATTACTGCAAACACAGTTTCAAAAAGCAGGTTTTCCAGTGTTTTACTTGTATTCACTAAGGTTTAGTAATAATTTAAGTAGGAGAGAAGAACAAAGTTTATGACTTATTTACTTTCTCTTAAGAGAAATAAGTGATATTCAAAATAAAAAAAACCTCTAAGGTATATTCTTAGATTTTTGGTAAAAATCTGTATAAAGATCTACATAAAAATTAGAAAAATAATTTTCTTAAATTTATAAAAATATCAATATTGCACAAAATTATATTTGCTTGTATCCATTTGAACCAGGATTTTGGCTATTATATTTATATGGCTATATTCTTTTATGGTCAGGTGTCTAACTGGGTTATCTTCTTGACTTCTTTGAGTTACATGAACTGGGTTATATTCATTGTTTTTACATAAAAAAATGGGAACTTGACATAATATAGCAGCAATGAATGATAGTAACTGAGGCAAATTATGAAGGGTCTTGTGAGCAATAGAAAGACATTGGCTTTGAGTGTGGGCATGGTAGGAATCCACTTGACAGTTTTCACTGATGAAAACTATATGAAGATTTAAATTGTAAAAGCTTCACTGTAGCTGTTCACTAGACAGTGAACTGAAGAGGCCCAGAGAGGAGCTGGGAAAACAGCAAGAAATAATGGATCAAGTTGAAAACAGTGGAGATGGTAAATGAAAATGGGTTCTTGATACAGATTTAGAGATTCACTGTCTCCAACAGGATTTCCTGATGGCTTGGACATACAGTTTGGGAAAAAGAGTTAAGAAAGACTAAGATGGCTGACCTGAACATTAGAGAGATGGAGTTGCTCTTAACTAGACTGAGAAAGTCAGAGGAAAAGTAAGGTTTGGGGAAAACATAGTAAGTTTGAGATGGCTATTGGACATCCAAACAGTAATGTCAATCAGGCAGTTATATACAAGAATCCAGAGTGGAGAGAAGAGGGCTAGGCTAAAGGAACAAATTCCCCAAAGACATATTAAGTATTATACTTTATTATTGAATGTTATGCTGAAAGGATAATATGTTTTTAGAAAATATTACTTCAGCATCTTGATTTCTGCCACTAAGCTAAGTATGTATAGATATTGAGAATGAATGAGATTAAATTTACAATAAGCATTGTCTAAATATTCCCATACTTTACAAACTTTTTTAAAGGTTAACAAGTACTTATAATTTGGCAATTAATTATGTCTAAATTTGGAATTATATAGGTTTGTTTATAATAAACTGTATTATAAATACATTTTAAGCATTATAGTAACTTAAATAACATTGTGGGGTTTTTAATTTGTTTCATCTTACATTTTCTAAAGCTAAATTTTGCTTCCCTTTTTTACTCTAAATTTATATGATATGTCAGATTTTTATTCCGGTGTTCTAGATTTCAGATAATCCCTGCATTCGCATACCACTATACCTAAAGCCTACCAATTCAAACCAGTCCAGACGGAAAGGTAGGGAGACAGTTAATTTACATAATTAAACACTCTAATCCACAGAGTTTGTAGAATAATTGAGTTTCATGGCTTTCAATGACTTTCAGGAACTCAAAGTATCTATTAGATATCACACATTAATGAGTAGCTAATTATCATATGAAAATATCCAACTCTCAATACTCACCTTTACTTACATTAGAGGCATGCTTCTTGCATATTGCTTAGTTATAAAAATACTCGCAATCGTTTAAGTACAAATCTCTTTAACTTCGCTAACATTAACCATCTAAACATTTCAAATTAATACATATTTCAAATCAAACAATATCTGATTATTACACATTTTGTTCAACATTACTTCAGCTGATACTTAAAGCAGTTATGAAAAATTCAAAGGTAAGAATCAATTACCGAGGATTTTCTAAAGCTTATATTTCTCTGACATTTTTCTAATTATTTCAAAACATTGGAGCAAATCCTATACTCTCTGTTTTCAAAAAGGTATCATTTTCTTGTTCCTCAATGATTATTTTGCTTCTCAATTATTTTACATACATGATGGTTGGTCTTGATACCTGTTGGCCCATTGAATAGTTTTGCACCCAACAAAAACTAAATTGCCCTTTTGGAACGACATTTCAGAAAAAAAAATGGAGTGAATAAGTATTACAGCAAAACAATTTTCCTAAGAGTCATTGCAAAAACACATATGTAAAAGGCTGTGGCTTGAAGGCTCACAAAAGAAAGTTGACTTGAGGGGCTGTATATGGAAATGACAATAATACTGCATTATTTTCTTCCATTTATTAACCAGTAAGTTATCTGGAAATACAATGTGGATTTCTTTTAATGTATATTTGTTTGATCTATGCTTTTGATTTTTGTCACTATTTGATAAATAGTGCAATTTAGACATTCATCAATGATTTTACTTTTAAAAACATTTAGACACATACCATTTGGGGAGAAAACTAATTATAGGAAACTCTGTTATTGATAATATAAACCAGAAGTGTTTTATTAAAACAATATCTTGACTAAACCATATAAATCATACATCTTAATGTTTTTACCAATAGAGATTATGTGTAGTTTTACCAAGTTCAAATCAATAACAGAAATAAATTAATAATGACATAGCAAAGACCATATGGTAAATTCAATTAAATTAATTAAGAGTTTAATTAGAAACAAACATGTGCCTAGCAGTATATTAAATATTGAGGGGCATACAAAAGAAGCACAGGGCACCAGGCTTGTTTTCCAGATGCCTGAAACATTATTAAAGACACACGAGATGCACACCTGGGATAATTAAAGATGATTTAGAACTTTGGAATAGGAGAGACTTTGTGTAAAACTTAGAACCACTATTCCTAATTCTGTAATATTGGGTATATTGCTTGAATTCCTTAATTCTCAAAGCCTCGCCTGTACAATCATGATAACAAATATATCAATGAGTCACTTAAAGGAATTAGTGAGATATAAATGAAAAGTACTTTGTGTGAGCCTTGCCATATTGTAAGCATTTTTAAAATGGTAATAAATGAAAATATACCAGTTATGTCAATCTGTGCTGTAATGGCTACATAGTACCTAAATGAAATGGACTCGATGGTCCCATGGATATTTCTTTCGGATAAACATAGAAACCGGCCATTCCAGTCTTAAAGCTGGAAACTTACAATATCAAAGGACTAAAACCCGATCATTGCATTTAGACAATGAGACGCCAGGCTCCTCATTGATCATGATTCCTTCCTTATCCCCCCTGAGTTCCGGTTTTTCCATACACAGTTACATTTCTTCCCATATATACTAACCCTTCATGTTAGTTGGTCAGGGGATGAAGTTGAGACTGATCACCAATCCCCTTGGCTGTAGCACCCATCCTGGGTGATAATCATTTTCTCAGTGATTGGTTTTCTGTGCGGCAAGCAGCAGGCCTTAGATCAAACCCCTGGGGTTTCAGTAACATAAACATACGGAGATGCAACTGTCAGAGGAATGAAAACCAGAGCAACTCCATCTTGAATAGGAGCTGGGTAAAATGAGGCTGAGACCTACTGGGCTGCATTCCCAGATCGTAAAGGCATTCTAAGTCACAGGATGAGATAGGAGGGCGGCACAAAATAAAGGTCATAAAGACCTGTCTGATAAAACAGATTCCAGTAAAGATGCCAGCTAAAACCCACCAAAACCGAGATGGTGATGAGAGTAACCTCTGGTCGTCCTCACTGCTATACTCCCACCAGCACCATGACAGTTCACAAATGCCAGGGCAACATCAGGAAGTTACCCTATATGGTCTAAAAAGGGGAGGCATGAATAATCCACCACTTGTTTAACACATAATCAAGAAATAACCATTAAAAAGGGCAAACAGCAGCCCTCAGGGTTGCTCTGTCTATGAAGTAGCCATTCTCTTATTCCTTTACTTTTCAAATAAACTTGGTTTCAGTTTACGAACTTGCCCTGAATTATTCCTTGTGTGTGATCCAAGAACCCTCTGTTGTGGTCTGGATTGGGACCCCTTTCCTGTAACATCTTTCGGGAGACTGCAGAAGAGACTATAATGTGGAAATCCCCAGCCCAAAGGCTAACTTTGGGTAAGTTGTGGGGTCCAGTAACATCTTTCTGGCTAACTCTGAAGGGATGATACTGAAGAAACCTCCTGACCCAAAGGAAATAGACTGATCAGCCAGCTTTGGGTAAGTGGTGGGGTACCCAGGTAAAGGATAGGATTGGGTAAGAAGCCCAATTTAGGAGAGTTAGAGTCTCTCCTAAGACAGAGTGGGTTAGAGGGCCCTCTTAATAAAAGGCAAGGACACTTAACTGACCTTGAGTTTGAGGCCCAAAAAAACTTAGGAAGGTTACAGTCCCTTAGAAGATTTAGTGGGTTAAAGCCCCTCTCAGTAAAGTCCCTCTCGGTAAAGTCCCTTTCAGCTAAGGATGTTAACTGCTATTCTCTTTGGATTAATCTATTGTGCACTCTTTGCTGAAGGCTGTGGGTGGCAGGATTAGGCATACACAGGATCATGGGACATGGGGAGCTTTTTCCTCCCTAAAAAGGGACACTTCAGAGCTGATGGGACTGCTGGAAAAGATTTCTTCTTGACTGATAAGCAGCCTCCTGTACTTTTCGTGTCACTACAATTGGTGGGTCTTTCTCTGGCCTCCCTGAGCGCCACGCCTTCCCCACTCTGCCTCAGGCAATGCTTTCTCTCTCTCTCTTTCTCTCTCTCTCTCTCTGTGTGTGTGTTTGTGCAAACTGGTTAAATGGTAAAAATTACTGTTTATCTCTTGTAAAGTTTTGATTAATGTAAAAAAGGGTTTGTGAGGCTAGTCTTAAGCTGCAGCCAATCTGGTCTGCTTTGTGTGGCTTCCTGTATCATTCTGTCATAAAGAGGGGTACCTTACGGTAGAACATGAGCTTAGGATACCTGTAAGCCTACTGTTCAAAGATGACCCAGCAATCTGGTCAGTTACAAACTTTGCTGCAGGTCCCTGAGAAAACTGAATGTGGTTTCCTTTTTGTCTTGCATATCCTTAGGAGCTTGACCTTGTAACCACATGGCAGTACTATCTGTTGGTCTCCACCATCACAATGGTGGCCCGGGTTCAGTGTTCCATTCCTGGTTTGGAAGATGAGTCCTTTATCTTCTTCTGTGTATTGATGTTTATTATGTGTGTGATGTTTATATATAAAAGAGCTTTAATTAATTGGTTTAATAATAATAATAAGACCTTAAATCAAATATTTTGTCAGAAAAGTAAAAAGCGTAATACCTTTTGGGTCATATAACTTTAGTAATCTTTTGGAAATAAAAACAGTTTTAAAGAGTATTGGTAAAGTAGAAATATCTTCAAAAATGTAAATATTTAGTTTAAATTATGCAGGCCAGATATTAAGCTTGCTTTAAAATCATAAACTGCTTCTTTGACTTTTGAAAATTGTTCAATTTACCTACCTTGAAGTTATTAGTTTCTAGAAAAGGCCTGTTGACATGTAGAATTAGCCATGCCCCCTATCTATGAAAAGAAGTTTATAAAGAAAAGAAATTTTATATTATAAAGTCTGTTGTATGGTAAATTCTTGTCCTAAAGTAAAATGACCGTTTCTTTGTAAAAAAGGGATGTTTAGGACAAGTCAAAAAGTCCAAACATATCACACATGGTCTATGTGAGTCATGAAATAATTTATAAAAAGGAAATTTATGCAACAAATGTTGTACAATTTAAAGGTGATTAGGCCTCCTAAATCCTTCTTAAAATGCCACTATGACTTTCACTGTATAACTTGACTGCTTTACAACTACGGAGGCCTGGAACATGTGAAGTTAGATGCTAGAAAGAGCCAGACCTTATCTGTACTTCTGTCTGGGTCCTAGGCTCCACACCTACTATGTAATTAAAATTGTGACTTACCAAGGTTTTCACCAAAAGTAAGTCACTAAGAGTTAACATTGTAACATGTAATTAAGACTACTGAATAAACAATTTTACATGCAAGGTGTGTAAGGAAAATGTGTTTTTGGCAAAAGATTATAGGAAGGCCTGGGAATCCAGATTTCTTGCCTAAGTTTAGAGGGTTAAAGGATTGTTTTAAGTTAGAATAAAGCTGAAGGTTTAAGCAAGTTGTGGAAGGTTTGTGAAAAATTACTTGTAAAAGATATTCTGTTTGTGAACATATTGGCTAAAGTTAAAGTGGTGTTATTCAGTTTTTCTGTAAATTAAGCATTGGAATAAAAGCACAAGTTTTTCTTAGAGCACTGATCTGCTCTTTAACAAAATTTGTAAAGGGTTATAAAAGTTTTATGAAAATCTTAACTTATGGTCAAATTAATTAAAATTAAATACATTCATCTATAAGGTTTTATTAAGAATTGGGTTTGACATCAATAATGCACTAATGCCACAGTGACATTTGGCTTATTTGTTATAAAAAATCATAAAAGAAGCATTGTCAAATGTAAAATAGTGTTTGGCTTTCTTTGGGCTATATTTGTATAAATATTTATTGATATGTGTTCCAAAATAATGGGAAACTCCTGTAATTCTGATATGACTCAGTATATGTTAATTAATAATTATAATTATTGTAAGCCACAAAGGTAACCAAATTTCTTTGTCGATCATGTTTTTGACTGTGGCTGTCCTAAAATTTTATCATCCACAAAAAAATTTTCTTGTTTTCATCCTCTTTAAAATGTGCATTTATAATCAACTCTAGATGTTCTTAAATGCAGGTTTTATGATAACTTTGGAAATTTTGATATCAGAATACAGGAAAAAGCTCTCAGTACTCATGGAGAGCTGAAATGTTCATGAATATCAAACAGAACAGGAGTTAACTGCATAAACTAAACTAATGAAGTCTGAGGTATTCTTAACTTTTTGATTAAAATGTTGCTGGTCCTTTGTTTCATTTTTCAGAGTCAAGTTTTAAGCTATTTTTAAGCTATTTCTAAGCTATTTCCAGCTTTTGACAATTGAGTAATGTATACTCCTGTGAACAAACTTTGGAGCATGTGTTTCTCTCTATCTGATTTATCCAGGATTTGGAAACTATTTGTCAGTATTCTTAATTTATGGCAATAAAGTTATTTGCATAAGTGCAATAAGAATCTGTTTTCTTTTGAAACAGGAAACAATTGGGGAAACTGGTTATTTTACCAAGGCTTTGATTGGAATGATGTGTTTTCCTTTAAGGAATCAAACTTCACTTATAAAGCCAATAAAAGCCTCTTGAGGAACTGGCCTCAGACATTGTCTACAACAGTCCCTGTACAGGGTTTCTGACCTGTGGCAAGTAAAGAATGTCACTGTCCAGGAGCCCCAAGTTATCTTGGGAACCCAAGAGAAGAGGTATTTACTCAATTCATAGGCATTTGAGGTTACAAAGCCATGGTAGAGCTCGACACTAAAGAAGTCTTACCTGAGATTCCTTCTATGGAACAGAGTTCCATCAAAGCCAATTTAAAAAGAGCTTATGTGAAAAGTAATTATTCCTCTTGCACATTATATAAATAATCAGGCCAAATATAATAAAGCAAATCAATCTTACCATGATTTGTCTTTAATAAAAATGAGAAAACTGTAGAGAGAAATTATGTTTCAAGAACTGTGGTACATTTGTTATTAGATTCTAGTCTCATCGGTTGTTTTTAAGTTTGTTTCTGTCATTTAGGCTAACCCTGCTTATTCCTGTGAACCAACCGTGATCTCTGGCTGCTATTCACAAGAAACAGGAGTGTTGGGTAATGTAAAAATCTGGATCAATATTCTAATTCTGGGCACATTGGAATCAGCTAGCAACTCTATATCAGCTTGGTTCCAAGAGTTGCCCAGTTCATGGAAAGACTTCTAATTTAATTTACTTGGGATAATTTTACTTATTTTGCTTTACTGTTGTGGAATATATTGCCATTGTACTCTGTAGGAATGCCTGACAAGCTTACTGAATGTTTTTCAAATTGAACACTTATTAATCTTCCAGATATCACCTCTTGTCAGACCTCAAGAGTCATGAATGGCCCTCACCATACTGATGCTTTCTGACTGAGCTCCTCTCTACCCTGAATATGAGAGACCTTAATAGTTAGGAAAGAAGGTCGTTGTCTCTATTCGGCTTCAAGAAGTTACAGAAGATGGATCTTCATCTCTCTGCAACCTTTAGGATTAACGGTTCTCTTATAAAAGGGAGGGGGAAATGTCAGAAGCATGTGAACCAGAGCATGAATAGGAGCTTGAATAGGAGCTGGGCAAAATGAGGCTGAGACCTACTGGGCTACATTCACAGATTGTTAAGGCATTCTGAGTTACAGGATGAGATGGGAGGTCAGCACAAGATACAGGTCATAAAGACCTTGCTGATAAAACAGGTTGCAGTAAAGAATCTGGCTAAAACCCACCAAAACCAAGATGGCAACAATAGTGACCTCTGGCCGTCCTCACTGCTACACTCCTACCAGCACCATGACAGTTCACAAATGCCATGGCAACATCAGGAAGTTACCCTATATGGCCTAAAAAGGGGAGGCATGAATAATCCACCCCTTGTTTAGCATATAATCCAGAAATAACCATAAAAATGGACAACCAGCAGCTCTTGGGGCATCTCTGTCTATGGAGTTGCCATTCCTTTATTCCTTTACTTTTCTAAAAAGCTTGTTTTCAATTTACAGACTGGCCCTGAATTCTTTCTCGTGCAAGATCCAAGAACCTTCTCTTGGGGTCTGGATCAGGACCCCTTTCCTGTAATACAATGATTTTGTTATTAAGAGCAAGATTACAACTATGTACAGGATCAGGCTATGTAGGATGATAGCTAAATAAACTATAATTTTTCAGATTGAATGAGCTAATAAGTGATTTATATTTTAGTTTTGTTTTTATGCTCTGTATTTTTTGAATATTTTAATAACAATTATAGATTACTTTTTAATCAAGAAATTGTATATGAATAAAATACATGATGAAGACATTAAATTCTAAGTGCAACTAAATAAGGAAAATTTATTATCAGTGAATGTTATCATCTCCACTATTTAATAGTTACAGAAAATATAGTGCATATAAGCCATAAACTTAAATTCAGTACAGTATATAATAAGCATTTAGTAAACATTCATTGAATTAAATAGAATTGTCTACGTTATGAGCTTTTGGTACGCAAATCACTCTGAAACTAAGGATTGTAATTAAGGATTTACAAAATCTTTCCAGACACAGAAAGTGTCACAAGACACTTCAGCAGCTTCTTAGTAAATATTTTTTAAGTAAACAAATAAATGAATCCCAACCAACTTAAAGGGCTGTCATGAGGAAAAAACAGACAATGCATTTATAGTGCCTGACCCAATACTTGATACATATGGTAAGTATTAACTAAATGATGTCTCCTTCCCCCACACTCCCCTTTCCACAGCTCCATCTTTCCCTGTCAACTTAAAATCAAGTAAGAAAGTTATTTTTGGAAGGTTATGCAGGACAGATTTTGGTCTGCTCTTGGGAAGTAAAGTGTGAACCCTGGAATATTCTGCCCAGTGAGCATTCTTGTGTGCCTGATGCATTGGGCTACCTGGTATCAATTTGATCAGATAGCTTATGCCAACATGTAGTTGATGAAAAACCCCTGTTTTCTCTCTGGGGAGCTGGAGTCTGAGTTGCAGAGGTCATTTCCTTAGGGGCTGCATGTCTATGTCATTCAACTCAATAAAAACACTAGATACCAAGGCGTATGTGAGCTTCCCTGTTTGACAAAACTTTGAATGCATTCTCACATATTACTTCTAAGAGAATTAAGCATGCGTGGCTTTCTGGGAGATAATACATGGAAATTTGTGCCTAGTTTCTCCTAGATTTTGCCCTGTATACATTTTCCCCTTGCTAATTTTAATCTGAATCTCTTCATGGTAATAAACTGTAACCCAAACTATAACAGCTTTATCTGAGTCCTGTGTGAATTATGGAGCACAAGGATAGTCTTAGGTAAACTCACCCCAAGGGCAAAAATTTCATTCTAGAATTTGTGAAGAATAAATCATATCAAATTACTGGAATTGTATTAGGAAGATTTTAGAACCCATCGTTAAATACCTAGACTTCATCTCAAACGTAAGAGTTTTTGACTAGGGGACGTGCATGAAAATTTTAATTTTCACAAGATTAGGTTGATAGAGATTTGGAGAATGAATTAGGGTACAAGAAATCTAATTTCATAATAATGGCATTGGAAAACAATAGGAAAGTAAAATGTTGACCATTACAAAGAACTAGTTTATAATTGATAACTGAGCAGCTCTCTTTCCTCATTTGCATTGTCTGGTCAAACTATTTCAAACAAGCTCTCCTTCTTATTAAAATAAAAGAGATCTTATGGACGTGACAGTTGATATAAATCCCTACAGTTGTTGTCAAATCTCAATGTTCATTCTACGTTACTTCAGCAGCATTGGACATAGTCACTACTTCCTCTTTGAAACCTTTTGTGTTAGTCTGCTAGGGCTGCCCTAACAAAGTACCACATACTGGATGGCTTAAACAATAGAAATCTATTTTCCCACAGTTCTGGAGACTAGAAGTCCAAGATCGAATTGCCATCAAGATTGGGTTCTCATAAACACTTTCTTCCTGGTTTTCAGGTGGCAGCTTTCTGGCTGTGTCCTCATATGGCCTTTTGTCTCTCTCCATGTGTGTATGTGGTGTGTGTGTGTGTGTGTGTGTGTAGAAAGAGAGAGCTCTGGTGACCCCTCCTCATAAGGACATCAGTTCTATCACATTAAAGCTTGATGATGCTTGGTAACCTCTTTTAAACTTACTTACCTCTTTAAAGGTCCTATCTCCAAAGACAAGTCACTTTGGGACCTAGGCCTTCAACATCTCAATTTTGGGGGGTCCATAAGATCTTCATTTCTTTAAGTTTCTGTAAGACACAGTTTCCTTTGATGTCTTCTTTCTTTTCCCCCAACATTAGGGCTGATTTCATGGGTGTGCCACCTGTGCAGTGTTACAGAGCTTCCTACTTAAGAGTCTGGTGCTACATTTAATTCTCTGCTGCTGCCTTCCTAAAGTTCTCAGTAAATAAAAAACTTAATAAATGTTAATTGTTAAAGCCATTTTAGGTTCAGAGCAAAATTAAGCAGAAAGTACAGAAGTTCCCATATATCCCTCCCTGCACCCACCTGCCACTACAGTCTCCCCCATTATCAGTGGGCTCCAGCACAGAGGTACATTTGTTACAATCGGTGAACCTACGTTGACACATCATAGTTTACACTGGGGCTCATTCTTGGTGGTTGTACATTCTATGGTTTCTGGACAAATGTAGAATGACATGTAACTACCATTTTAGCATCATATAGAATAGTTTCACTGGCCTAAAAATCCTATGTGTTCTATCTGTTCATGTCTCCCTCCGAGAGCCCCTGGTAACCACCAATCCTTTTCTGTCTCCACACTCTTGCCTTTCCCAGAGTGTCACATAGTTGTACTCATACAGGCATGTAGCCTTTTAGATTGGCTTCTTTTACTTAGCATTATGTATTTAAGATTTCTCTACGTCTTTTCTTGTTGATAGCTCATTTCTTTTCAGTGCTGAAAAATATTTTATTGTCTGATTGTACAGTAGTTTCTTTATTCACTTACCGACTATAGAATATCTTGTTTGCTCCAAAGTTTTAGCAATTATGAAAAAGCTGCTATAAACACTCATGCAAATTTTTATATGGATGTAAGTTTTCAATTCATTTTCATAAACAACAAGAAATACAATTGCTGGATCATATAGTAACAGTATGTTTGGTTTTATAAGAAAGTGCCAAACTATCTTCCAAGTGGTTGTACCGTTTTGCTACAACCAGGAAAGTTCTGGTTGCTTCACATCCTTGTCAGCATTTGATGCTGTCAGTATTTTGGATTCAATAGGTTTGTAGTAGTATTTCATTTTTTTTTTACTTTGCAAGTCCCTATTGATATATAATATTGAGCATCTTTTCATAAGCTTGTTCACCATCTGTTTATCTTCTTTAGTGAGGGGTCTATTCAGGTCTTTTGCCCATTTTTAAATTGGATTGTTCATTTTCTTATTGCTTAGTTTTAAGGCTTATTTGTATATTTGGATAATGGTCCATTATTAGACATGTCTTCCACAAACATTTTCACCTTGTCTGTGGCTTGTCTTCTCATCCTCTTGACAGTTTCTTGTTTGTTTGTTTGTTTACAGGAGTGAAGTTTTAAATTTCAATGAAATACAGCTAATTATTTCTTTCATAAATCATCCCTTTGGTGTTGTATCTAAAAAGTTACCACCATACCCAAAGTCAACTAGATTTTTTCCTATGTTAATTTTAAGGAAGTTTATAGTTGTTCATTTTACATTTAGATTGTGATCCATTTTGAGTTAATTTTTGTCAGAGATGTAAAGTCTGGGCCTATATTTGTGTGTTGTCATGTATGTGCTAAATGGTTCCAGAACCATTTGTTAAAAAGACTATCTTTTCTCCTTCGTCTTGCTGTTGCACCCTTCTCAAAGATCAGTTGCTTATATGGATCAGTTTCTGGGCTGTCTATTCTGTTTCATTTATCTATTTGTCTATTCATTTGCCAAAACCACACTGTCTTAATTATTATAGCTTATAGCAACTCTTGAAGTCAGGTGGCATTAGTTCTTCAACTTTCTTCTTATACTTCAATATTGAGTTGGCTTTTCTGTGACTTTTCATGCACCATATAAACTCTAGAAAGAATCTGATGATATCTGCAAGATAACTGGTTGATATTTTTATTGGGATTGTGTTGAACTTATACATGAAATTGGGAAGAATTGACATCTTTGCAATATATCATCTTCCTATTGTATGGCATAGAATATTTCTTCATCTATTAAGTTCTTGGATATTTTTCTTCATATTTTTATAATTATTCTGTACAGGTTTTCTTGTCTATATTTGTTAGATTTATGCCTAAGAATTTTATTTTGGGGGATGCTAATGTAAATAAGTGATAATATGTTTCTAATTTTAAATTCTACTTGTTTATTGCTGGTACAGAGGAAATAAATTGACTTTTGTATATTAACTGTGTGTCCTACCACTTAGCTATAATTGCGTTTTCAGTGCCATGATTTTTTGTCAATTCTTTAAGATTCTCTATACAGTCAGGTCATCTGCAAATGATTACAGTTTTATACATTTTCCCAATATGTATGCTTTTTGTTTCCTTTTGTCATCTTATGCATTTTCTAGAATTTATAGTACAATGTTACCAATGAGGGATGAGAAGGGACATACTTGCCTTGTTCCTGACTTAGCAGGAAAATTCAGAGTTTTTCATCAAGTATGATATTAGCTATAGGTCTTTAGTAGATGTTCTTTATCAATTTGAGGATGTTCTCTAATCCTAGTTTGAAGAGAATTTTCATCATAAGTGGTTTTGACTTCTGTCAAGTTATTTTTTCTTTATTGACATAATAGTGATTTTTCTTCATTAGTCTATGACACGATGGATTACATTAATTGATTTTCATATGTTGAACCAGTCTTGCATACCTGGAATAAATTTCACTTTGACATGGTGTATATTCATTTTATACATTTGTTGGTTTCAATTTGCTACTATTTTATTGAAGATTTTTGCATCTAGGTTTATGAGAGATACTGGTCTGTAGTTTTCTATTCTTGCAATATTTTTGTCTAGTTTTAGTATAAGGTGATGGATGATGTTTGCCTCATAGCATGAGTTAGAAAGTATGCCTTCTCCTTCTATCTTCTGGAGGAAACTGTGGAAAATTGGTGTAGTTTATTCCTTAAATGTTCAGTAGAATTCACCAGTGAATCCAGCAAGGCCTGGTGTTTTCTCTTTTGGAAGTTTACAAGTTATTAATTCAATTTTTTAATAGATACAGGCCTATTCAGATTGTTTATTTCTTGTTGTGTGAGTTTTGGCAGATTGTGTCTTTCAAGGAATTGGTCCATTTTATCTACGTTATCAAATTTATAGGCAAAGAGTTGTTCATAGTATTCCTTTATTATCCTTTTTATGT
This sequence comes from Homo sapiens, assembly GCF_000001405.40. Classification (NCBI taxonomy): domain Eukaryota; kingdom Metazoa; phylum Chordata; class Mammalia; order Primates; family Hominidae; genus Homo; species Homo sapiens. Next base: position 179,783,934 of record NC_000004.12, read on the forward strand.
CCATGGCATCTGCAGTAATAATTTCTCTTTAATTTCTGATATTAGTAATTGGCATCCTCTAACATTTTTTTCTCAGTCAGCCTTGGCTTATTGATTTTATTGGTCTTTTTAAAGAATGAGGTTTTGATTGTTGATTTTCCCTATTTCCTCTTTTCAATTCCATTGACCTCTGCTCTGATTGTCATTTATGTCTTTTCTCCTGCTTACTTTAAATTAAGTTTGCTCTTCTTTTCCAAATTTTCTAAAGCAGTAGCTTAGATTATTGGGTTTGGATCTTTCTTTTTTTCTAATTAATGCATTCGATGCTATAAATTTCCCGTTAAGCACTGCTTTCACTACATATCACAACTTTTGATAAGTTACATTTTCATTTTAATTTAGTTAAAAATATTTTTATATTGATCTTGAGATTTCTTATTTGTCCTATATATCATTTAAAAGTATGTTGTGTAATCTCCAAGTATTTTGGAATCTTTCAAGTGACTTTCTGTTATTGATTTCCAGTTTAATTACATTTTGGTCTGAGAGCAGATGGTATATAATTTCTATTTTACATTTGTTGGGTGTGTTTTATGGTCCTGAATGTGACATATCTTGGTGAACATTCTACGTGAGCTAGGAAAGAATGTGTACTATTTTGTTTGATAATGTAGTCTATAGATATGAATCATATCCAGTTAACTGATGGTGCTATTAAATATAGCTATGTCCCAGTTTATTTTCTTCCTACTGCATCTATTTCTGATAAGAGGTATGCTATGATCTGCAACTATAATAGTGGATTCATGTATGTCTCTTTGCAGTTCTATGCGTTTTTGCTTCACATATTTTGAACCTTTAATGTTAGGTACCTGTATGTTAAGGATTGTTATGTCTTCATGAAAAATTGACCCGTTTATCTTCATGTAGTGCTCCTCTTTATGGCTGATAAATTTTCTTGCTCAGAATCTGTCTGCTCTTTCTGAAATTAATATAGGCACTTCCATTTTTATTGGTGTTGGCATGCTATATTCTTTCTTTCTTCATTTACTTCTAATCTATATGTATTCTTATATTTAAAATGGAGGTTTTGTAGATAATATGTAGTTGAGTCTTGTTTTATGATCCACTCTGACAATGTCTTTTAATCAAAGTTTAAGGTGATTATTGATGAGTTTGGATTAATAGCTACCATATTTATTACTGTTTTCCATTTGTTGCTCTTGTTCTTTGTTCCTGTTTTTGTCTTCCACACATTTTCTGCCTTTTGTGATTTTAACTGAACATTTTATTATTCCATTTTATCTTCTTTCCTATCATATCCACTTTTTTTATTTTGTCTTTGCATATTTATTTTTCACTTTTTTAGTGCTTTCCCTAGAGCTTGGGATATACATTTACAACTAATCCAAGTTCACTTTCCAATAACATTACTCAGCTTCCCTGGTAATACAAGTACTTTATAAGAATAACATATACCCAGTTCCACTCTTCTGTTCCTTGTATCATTGCTGTCAATCATTTCACTTAGACATAAGCATATATATACACATACAGGTAAGCATACATGATAGAGAACATTATTGCTATTATTATCTTGAATAATTTTTTATCTGATTAACTGATAACTTATTTATTAAATAATAAGAAAAATAAAAGGGTTTCTTTTATGTTCACTCACTCATTTTCTGATGCTCCTTCCTTTTTATGTAGAATCAATTTACTGATCTATATTGTTCTTTCTTCAGGAAGAACTTCTTTTAAGTCTTCTTGCACAGTGGTTCTATTTGCAACACATTTCCTCAATTTTTGTTTGTCTAAGAAATAATTTATTTCTTCTTCACTTCTGAAAAATAATTTGTATGGTATAGAATTCTAGGTTGGTGTGGTTTCTTTCTCTTAACGCTTTAAACATCTGACTCCACTCTCTTCTTGTTTGCAGGATTTCTGAAGAGAAGTCAGATGTAATACTAATATTTTCCTTTCTATATTTATGGTGCTTTTTCCCCCTCTGGCTTCTTTCAAGATTTTTGACTCAGCTTTGATTTTCTGAAATTTGAATATACTACTAAGTGCAATATTGTGGGTTTTTTGGCATTTATATTTTTTGCTTGGTGTTTTTTGAGGTTTCTGGGTCTGTGGTTTGGTGTGTGACATTAATTTGGGGGAAAATGTCAGTAATTATTGCTACAGATATCACTTCTTTTCCTTTCTTTTTTCTCTTTCCAGTATTTTCTTTGTACATGTGTTATACTTTTTGCAGCTGCCCCAGAGTTCTTGGATATTGTGTTCTGTTTTTTTTTCTATCTTTTTTCTCTTTTCTTTGCAGTTTTGGAAATTTTCACTGCTCTATCCTCAAGCTCAGATATTTTTTCCTCAGTTGTGTCCAGTCCAGTAAAGCATCCACCAAAAGCATTCTTCATTTCTATTACAGTATTTCTAGCATTTAATTTTTACTTTTTCTTAGAATTTCCATCTCCCTGCTTATAGTATCTGTTTATTCTTGCATGTTGTACACTTTTCTCATTAAAAGCCTTAGCATATTATATAATAGTTTTTTTTTTAATTCTGATCTGAAAATCCCAACGTTCCTGACCTGACTGTAGTGCTGATGCTTTTTTTTTTGTTTTTTGTTTTTTTTTTCTGAGACGAAGTCTTGCTCCATCACCCAGGCTGGAGTGCAGTGGCCCGATGTCGGCTCACTGCAACCTCCACCTCCCGGATTCAAGCAATTCTCCTGTCTCAGCCTCCCGAGTAGCTGGGACTACAGGTGGAAGCCACCACGCCCAGATAATTTTTGTATTTTTATTAGAGATAGGGTTTCACCTTGGTGGTCAGGCTGGTCTCGAACTACCGAGCTCAGGTGATCCACCCATGCCTTTAAACTTTGTTTCTGCCTTTTAATAATTTTTTGTTGAAAGTCAGGCATAATGTCCTGGGTGAAAGAAACTACTAGAGTTGGGTATTTCCTTCTCCCTAGATGCACTGGGCTCTAACATACTCCCAGCAGGTTAAGCTCTTGTAAAATATTTTCTCCTGAGAGCAGGTTTTGCTAAAAAGAAGAGAATGCTCTGTTGTATTTCAAAACGGTTACTTTTCCCCTTCCCCAGAAACGTAAGGGGTGACTGTGACACCTGGTAGAGTTCCTGACGGTAAAATTCACAAAGGTAGGAGAACCTCCCTATGACTGGGTTTCTGTGAAGTTTTTGAATCTCCGACTTGTTCACACTAGCCTCTAGCAATTCATCGATTACTTTCAGATTTTCCAACCTGACCCTGGTTCCCAGGAGATTTCCGTTCCTGGGTTTCTACTGTGGTACATTGTGAGTCCCTGTATCCACTTATTTGTCCTAGTTGTGAGCTCACTTCTACGATGCATCTTAGAAGAGTTGTTGACTTTTTTTAGTTTGTGTGTTTTTACTTATCACGACAGAGTGACGACTTCCAAACTCCTTACATGCTAGATTAGGACCTGGAAGTTATTCAAGTTTCTAGAAATCTGTTTTAAAAGGGGCTGCATTTTTATTTAGTAGTGGGCTCTGCAAATTATATATGCCGGGCTGTTAGTGTTTCCAGGGACTTGATATTCTCTTTCTCAGTCTCAGTCTCACTCTCATATCTCACTAGGTAATCTCATACATGCCAGCAGTTTAAACACCAGTCCTCTGACGACTCCCAGATTTATTATCCCCTACTGCCTATTTTATATCTATAGTTTAATATTTAATAAAAGTCTGAAATACTATATGCCAAAAACAAATGCATATTTTCTCCTTGAAGATTTTTTATCATCATAATAGGATTGCCACCTTCCTAATCACACATAGCATTGTTTTTAAATCTGAGAATTATTTATTTGTCCTTGTATTCTCCTCAAACTCCACAATGAATCCAACAGAAGATCCCTGTCAGCTCTACCACCAAAACAAATCTCAAAACAGAACTCCTCTCACTATCTCTCCTACTATTGTCCTGGTATAAGCTGCCTCCAGCTCTCTGACCAACATTGTATGAATCCATGTATATGAAGTGTTCATAAAAAGCAAATTTACAGAGACAGGAGGCAGATTAATGGTTGTCTGAGCTGCTGGTGGTGGGATTCTTTGTAAATAAGTGTGAGGCGTCATGGAGGAGTGAGGGAGTATGTTCGAAAACAAATTCATAATGATAGTTAAGCTGCTTGTTAAAGTTGCTAAATATTATTGAAGTATACACTTGCGATGGGTGAATTTTATGGTATTTAAAATATACCTCAAAAACATTCTTAGAAAACGACAAAAACCATAACAAATAAAACTTCTCAACTGGATTCTCATTGTTAAACGTACACCTACAGAATGCATTCTTCATTTAGCACCCACAGTAAAACTCAGATCAATCGCTCTCTCTGAGTCTTCCAACAACTTCTCTTCCCAACTAGAATGTGTTCCCGATGCCCTTGCTGACATCTCTGATTTCATATTCTACTATGTCCTCAGCACATTCTACATGTATTTGATTTGTTTTTGTTTCTTGAACTGGACAAGCTTGTTCCTGACTTGGGCTCTCATATTTCTTATTTTCTTTGCTCCTTAGTAGGCTGTTTCTCATTATTCAGGCCTAATATCAGAGCTCAGAGGAGCTTCCCAGATTACCCAGCCAATATAGAGCCCTACTACACACCAAACACCCTCCATCATTTTATCCTTGAATATAGAGCCCTGCCTACATGCCAACACCCTCCATTATTATTATCCTAGCCTTTATAGAGACTACCTACACACCGAACACGCTCAGTCATTTTATCCTTGACTATACAGCCCTACTACACACTGAACACCCTCCATCATTTTATCCTAGCCAATGTAGAACCACATCTACACACAGAACAGCCCCAATCATTTTATCCTTGAATATAGAGCCCTACCTACACACCAAACACCCTCCATCAATTTATCCTAGCCAATATTACACACTGAACACCCTCCATCAATTTGTCTTAGCGCATTTTCTCCAAACCATTTATTGCTCTCTGAAATTCTTATTTCTCTGCTTATGTCTTTAGTTTTGCTTCTTTCAGCAGAATGACATTCCTTAAAAGCAAGAGTTTGGCTTATTTTGTTCACTACCAAATCCTTAGTGTCAGAATAATATCTGGTATATAATAGGGGCTCTGTATATACTTTTTGATTTACTTATTGACATTAGAAATAAACCCAAAGAAGGAATTGAAAATACACCTTTATTGTATAAGCAAAAGAAAAGACACGTAAGAAACAAGAGCGCATCTCTTCCTAAATACTGTGCCATCTTTTATAATGTCCATAATACAAATGGCCCCCATGTCAGACTTTTTATTCACATTCTTCATCATTATAATCTTAATAATACTACTTAACACTCTTAGCATGTTCCATCTTCAAACTGCTTTATAAATGATAACCGACATCAATTAATTAGTCATTATCAATTGATTTGTTGAATTAATCTCATTTCTAAAATTTCATTTTTATTGAAGATAATTAAGAAGGTGTCCAAACAGGATCTCAGACCGTATCTAATCATATCTCCTGTGCATATATTGTGTCTCATTAAGACATGGAAAATTCTTTTTTCCTAGTATATTTCTAAATTAGTACTGTTAAAATGACCTTCAGCTAACACCTAATTTATTCATAGTCTCTGACTTTTCTTTCTAGATCTAAAAAATCTTCAAAATGTTCTATGATAATGCATTTTTCTATCATAACCCGAAAGGCTCATAGGTGAGCAGAATAAACTCACTTTCTCTTCCTTTTTGTCTTCAATACACCTTTAATTTTCTATCTCAGTAATAATGTGTGAGTAGCATTATTGTGTTTTATTACACTTTGTCTCAAATTTGTAATATTTACAATTAACTCAAAAATTTGTACCAACTCTAAATTTTATATATTATGCTGCGTAAAGAATTTCTAAGATGTAAACTTTGCTCTCTAGGTGTTTCCATTATTCAAAACTAGGTTAAATTCATCTCTTCCTCCTTCTGCGAACCCTCAGAAACAAAATATTAACAAAGTAAAGTGATGAAAGCATAGAAAGCACTTTTACTAATATTTATAGAGAATTTAATGCTTTCACATCCTTCCTTAAGAGGGATGAGAGAAGATATTTTAAACACTTTAAAACCCAGTTTAAATGTCAGTTTTGTATTATTTAAGTGTGAATTATAGAAAACTAATGACACTCATTGAATAGCACTTTTACAAATTCTCAGTATTTGTGTTTGTTATCTTATCTCTAACTGTCAGTAACAGCAAAATGATTCTTATTTGAACTATTCTATGGGGGTTGCTAGTCAATATAACAAAAATAACAAAATGTCAAAATGACTTGGTTAATCTTACTAAAAAAGCATAAAATAATGTCTTAGTTTTATGTTTTTTAAAAAAGAACACTGGATTTAAATTTGGAGTCTTATTATTTCCATATTTAGGTAACTATATTCACAGTACAATCTTAAGTCTAATTAAAAAAAAAAATTTTCTCCTGAATCTGCTTCTGTAATCTAATTCACTCAAATTCTAGCAAAACAAAAACAATTAGAGACTCTAAAAAGTTAACAATGTTTTATGTGAGCCTATTAAACATTATTTCTTATTGAATGAGTTAATTAAATGCAATTGTGTAATACCTGTCAAAAAAATTAAAACCAACTAATATGAATAATTGACTATACAATTATCTTTATTTTGCTGTTATGGGCAAAAAATTCCCATAATAAAATATAAAAATGCAAATTTGATTTTTCTCTGAAAGGGCACATAATGTATATGAATAAAATCACAATAAAATATGAATATAATTTATACAAATATTTATGATTATTCTTTTTCTAGTTGATCTCCATTCAAATCAGGTATGTTAAGTTTACATGGTTAATATCAAATTATAGTTTTGAATAAATGATAGTCATTTTAGTTTGAATGTAAATTTATACATTAATAGAGTAACGGGGGGAAATTCTTATCTTCAATTTTCTTATAATAGAAACAGTATGTGTTTGTGTGTGTTTTTATAAGCATATAATGTTCCACCAGATAATAATGTTTTAGTCAATGATGGATCACATATACTATGGTGGTCCCATAAGAGTATAATGGAGCATACATGCAACCTGATATATGGCACTTGATATTGCCACTGCAGATCAAGAAGAAATGATTGATATTCAGCAATGATGTTGAGACATTTGGTTTTTCATATTTTAAAAATCTATATAAATAAAAACACATATACTATCTGGGATTGTGTGAGTACACTCTATGATGTTTGCACAATGACATAATTGTCTAAGAATGCATTTATTAGAATGTATCCCCATAATTAAGGGGGATACATATTTTAGAATATATCCTGATATAGTGCATGGCTGTGTGTGTGTGTGTGTGTGTGTGTGTGTGTGTGTGTATGATATGGTTTGTCTGTGTTTCCCAGAGGTCTAGGAGCAAAAAGTGGTGGTTTCGTGGGCTGGGCCCAGGATCCCTGTGCTGTGTGCAGCCTAGGGATTTGGTGCCTTGCATCCCAGCTGCTCCAGCTGTGGCTGGAAGGGGCCAACATAGAGCTCAGGCCATGGTGCAAGCTCAGAGGGTGCACGCCCCAAGCCTTGGCATCTTCCACATGGTGTCAAACCTGCAAGTGCACAGAAGTCAACAATTGGGGTTTGGGAACCTCTGCCTAGATTTCAGAGGATGCATGCAAATGCCTGGATGACCAGGCAGAAGTTTGCTGCAGAGGTGGGGCCCTCCTGGAGAACCTCTGCTAGGGCAGTGTAAAAGGGAAACATAAGGTCAGAACCCCCACACAGAGTCCCTACTCCCTAGTGGAGCTGTGAGAAGAGGGCCACTGTCCTTCAGACCCCAGAATGGTAGATGCACCACAGCTTGCACTGTGCACCTGGAAAAGCCACAGACACTCAAGGGCAGCCCGTGAAAGCAGACAGGGGGTAGGCTATACCCAGCAAAGCCATAGGGGAGAGCTGTACAAGGCCATGGGAGCCCACCTTTTGCATCAGTGTGATCTGGATGTGAGACATGGAGTTAAAGGACATCATTCTGGAGCTTTAAGATTTGACTACCCGCCAGATTTCAGACTTGCATGGGGTCTGTAGCCGCTTTGTTTTGGCCAAATTCTCCCCTTTGCAATGGCTATGTTTACCCATGCCTGTACCCCCATTGTATCTAGGAAGTATAACTAACATGCTTTTGATTTTACAGGCTCGTAGGCAGAAGGGACTTGCCTTGTCTCAAATGAAACTTTGGACTGTAGACTTTTGAGTTAAGGCTGAAATGAGTTAAGACTTTGAGGGACAGATGGGAACACATGATTGATTTTGAAATATGGGGACATGAGTTTTGGGAGGTGCCAGAAGTGGAACGATATAGTTTGGCCATGTCCCCACCCAAATGTCATCTTGAATTCCCATCTGTATTGAGAGGAACCCAGTGGGAGGCAATTGAATCACCGGGGCAGGTCTTTACTGTGCTGTTCTCATGAGAGTGAGTAAATCTCACAAGATCTAATGGTTTTAAAAGGGGGAGTTTTTCTGCTCAAGCTCTCTTCTCTCATCTGCCATGATGCGAGACATGCGTTTCACAAACTTCCACCATGATTGTGAAGCCTCCCCAGCCATGTGGAACTGTAAGTCCAATAAACCTGTTTCTTTTGTAAATTTCTTTTCTTGTGTCTTTATCAGCATCTGATAAAGTTTCCTAATGCTATCTTAACAATGTACCATGGTCTGGTGTGCTTAAAACAACAGAAATTTACTTTCTCCGTTCAAAAATCAAGGAAGAGGCAGAGTTGATGCAACTGGAGGCTGTGAAGGAGAATGTGTTTTCCTGCCTCTCTCCTAGGTTCTGATAGTTCCCAGCATGTCTTGGTGTTCCTTGGCCTGTAGGCACATAAACCCAATCTCTGCCTCCATCATCATATCTCATTCTCCCTGTGTATCTCCACATCCAAATCTTCCTCTTCTTATAAGAGAAGACACTTCTCATAATTTGAGCAGCACTATTCAACCCAGTATACTATATTTTAGGAAAATTGGGAACCTCAATAATGTGAGATATTAACAAACTAACTTGGAGTTTAATTATTAATATATCAACCTAATATTTGGAACTTCATAGATGTAACTTCTTGAATTTGAGAAATAACTGGGAAAAATGGCATAAAATATTTTGGCATCTTCACTTTTAACAATGTGAAAAAAACTATCATGCTAATTATAAATATTAGACTATTTTACTAACAGAATTTACTACTGAGGTGTAGTGATCAAACAGTAAAGGTGAATTAAGCTTCAAATTTTAACTGAAGGAATTGAATTGAGCAATAACTTACATTTGGATATCACAAGTATTATTCTACTTACTTCCCACTCCCTCTCTCTAACACACATATGTTTTTATTTAGTCCATTTTAGCACCTAAGGAAATTGCAGCTCAGATACATTCAGTTAATTACTTGATTCACACAGAAACTAGGAGACAGAGATAAGGCTTAAAGGCATATTTGAGCATGAGTTTTGTTTTACTACATTATTCTTCAATAACTTTTGGCTCTTTGCTATTTATTTTAGCTATTACATCTTTCTTCTTTTCCTGGAATATAAAGGTTATTTATTATTGAACATTTCTATATTATTTTCTATCTTGAAAGTGGTCTAGCATAAAGTCTACTGGAGAAAGACAACATGATAATATCAACAGCATTAAAGCGTAATCGACAAAACAGAAATGGAAATCATATAATATCTATAGGCTGGTATAAACATGTAGGTCTCTGGAGGCTTACAACTATAAATTTTATTTTTAAAGAAATTATTTTAAACAGTTGGTTGGTCATATAATCATTGAGTATTAAAAAAAAGAACCAGGCTTAGGGCAAAGAAGAACGTTCATCAAAATCAAAAGTGAGATTCATGTCATTACTGCTGTCACCCTTGGGGCCATGATACTACTTACTGCAGCGTCTTCTGTCAGTTCTTCAAGTGTTCTTGCCAAGCGGGGGTGAGTAAGGGAATGGGCCTAGGGTGGGGGCTCTGTAGGAGGATAAAAATAGAATTAGTGGATCCATCTACCAGTCAGAAAATTTCTGGAGCAGTTTAAAATGACTTATGACAATAATTATTACATTAATATTTATAATATCTGTGGGCAATAGCTTGAAATATCCTTATTATTTTTAGATTGGGGAACCTAAGATTAACAGATTAAATAACTTGCGCACATGGCAAACACATCCTGAACTGGGAACAATGTTCCCAGAACAAGATTTAGTATTTCTACTTTCTTAAAGTACAGGAAATCTTTCACCAAAGTCAGAATTCTAGCTCCAGATAGGCCTCTTAAAGTCTCAGAGGCTCCCATTACAAGGCAGTAAAGTGGTAAGCATGCTAGACTTGGCCTGACCATCTGGATTAAAATCCAGCCTCTAGCTAGGCTACCTCTTCCCTCCTCCCCAGTGCATGAGTTTCTGCAAGTTGCTTACCTTCACTGAACCTCATAGCTGCCCAACACTTCTGCTTCACTGTGTTGTTCCGACAAGCGAATGAGAATGTATGTACATGAAAATGCTAAGCCTAACAGTTTGGCACGTAACAGGCACTCCTGGAAACATTCAAGTCAGTTCATTACATCCACACATGCCTCTGGGAAATAAGATTGCAAGCCACAGTTAGAAGTCTATTCCTACCCTTAATGATGCTCAGATTAAGTCCCCGAAAATCATTCATTTAACAAGTCTGTTGCTCTCAGCCTGGTGTGCTTGAAGTATATAAAAAAGTACCTATTTGCCTCCTGCTGAAAGTCAGGAGTAAAACATGACTAACCCAGTAAGTCAGCCAGTTAGAATATGCCAGTAGTGTCTTCCTCAGAGCGGGCTTTGCCCTCACTCCCACAAAGTGGACAGGCCACACTTGTAAGTCTCAAATGGAGCTACAGTCGACAGCGATGTTAAGCAGAAAGGAAGGTGTAAAATAAATATCAAAGCATTTCTGTCAGAGGGGTAACACCAACCCAGAAATTATAGCTTAAGAAGTTTTATTCACTTGATTCAACTACCAATTAACAGTACAACTATTAACCTTTTGTGAAATTTCTTTACATAAGATTAGCATAATTTATACACTTAAACATTTTGTTGTAGAAATCTATATTTCATTCCAGTAGTCCTAAGACTCAAATGTAGTTTTAAGGTCATAAATATTTCAAAGAATGTATTATATTTTATCTATTACATGTATTTTATCTCTAAGTCATATAAACTATGATCTTGATTCAAAATTATAGTAAAATCAAAAGCATCAATCCCTCTCCCACAAATATGATAGTTTATTTTATATAATTGATTACATAAAAAGAAAGATGTATGCTTTTTGAATTTTGGAATATTTGAAGGTACTTTTTAAGATGTTTTCCTACTTACAACATCTGCAAATCTTTCATGTGATATTTCCTTCTTTTTTGTAATGAAAAAAAGTCTATAAAATATAACTACTAAGAATCTGACTATTCTGTGATGTTATTTTAAACAACAAAACACCAAAAAATGAAAATAAGAAAGAAAGAAAAAAAAAAACCTTTGTAGTCAACTCCAAAAGGAAACATTTTCAGACAGGGTGGATGGGAAGTATACTATGTAAATTACAGGGAGTTAAAAGGCTTCTCTGGAGACTAGAGATACCTTTATTCACAGAGCACTCACCAAGAGCTGCCTCTTGGCTTCCTGTCAAGCTTCACCTGATCATCTAGGAAAGTATACCACCTCAGAGTTTATTTGTAATCTAAGTGATAGATATATAAATTCAAAAACAATTTCAGAACTGCGATTTGTTGTCCCAGGTAAGTATAGTTTGCAATTAAACCCATTGTTTCTGTGAATCAGAGTTTGTACATTAAAAGAAAAAAATATATTTTTTTATTTTATATATAAAATATATGTGTTTATCTATAAAAAATATAAATATATATTTTCTTAGCACTAACAATGAAAACTGCTATAATCAAAGGTTCTGGTGATCTATTGCACAGCATGGTAACTATAGTTAATTATACTGTATTGTGTATCTTAACATGTTTTTATTATTAAAATTTAATTTAATTAATGTTAGCTATTTTAAATAGCTTATATTAATTTTAAATATTCTCAGCACAAAGAAATGATAAGTATTTGCATTGGTAGATACATTAATTAGCCTGATTTGATCATTCCAATATGTATACATATATCTAAACACCACATTATACTCCATAAATAGGTACAATTATTATTTGTCAATTAAAAAAAACAAAATTTCAACAAAATACCTCAAGCCATTTCCAACACTTTTATATATCAAATAGATTAAATTTCTCCTAAAATAAGTTTCTTGTCCATCATATTAAATGCAAAAAAAAAAATGGAAATATTCAATTGCTTTCACAAAGAATCAATGATTACTACGTTGTGTTTTATGAAGTAGGACTTTTGTAAATCACAAATTTTCTATTATTATTCTTCAATTATTTACATGAGTGCTGATGACTTAAAATTTCTGAAGGGCATATGTTGACATAGATAGTGTAGATGTGAACAATATATAACTAAATCCTATGTCACATCTCTTATACACCTATATTATTATTATTATGAAGATATTATTTTTATTATTATATGAAGAAACTGAATGCTAATGTGAAAATAAATAGTTGTTAATAGATGATGACAATATAATAAATTATTTATATATAAATTTATCTAAACCCTTCTAAATCAATTTATGTTTTCACATTTTACCACATTTTAGAATAAATAGGCACCACAGATTTACTAGCTATGTAAATATAGTAAGACCGTGTCTTACAGAAATCAGCTTTCTAGAATGCCTCAAAAACCATGATAAGGCTGAGTGCAGTGGCTCATGCCTGTAATCCCAGCACTTTGGGAGGCTGAGGCAGAAGAATCATTTGAGGTCAGGAGTTTGAGACTAGCCTGACCAACATAGTGAAACTCTGTCTCTACTAAAAATACAAAAAAAAAAAAAAAAATTACCCGGGCGTGGTGCTGCACCCCTGTAGTCCCAGCTACATGGTAGGCTGAGGCAGGAGAATCACTTGAACCCAGAGGCAGAGGTTGCAGTGAGCTCAGATTGTGCCACTGCACTCCAGCCTGGGCAACAGAGTGAGACTCCGGCTCAAAAAACAAAAACAAAAACCATGATTAAAACTGCCACTAACACACCCACACCCCAAAGACATCACAGTGGCTTTGACGTAATTAGAACAGCCTCCAATACACAACATAAACCAGAAGAGAGAGAGAATGAGAGAGAGAGAAGGAAGAGGAAAAGGAAACAGAGGAGAAAAAGAGGAAGGGAAAGGAAGAGAAAAGCAGGATGGGAAAGAAGGAGGGAGAAAGTGAGGGAGGGAGGGAAGGCAAGGGAGGAAGGAAGTCTCATCCAAATTTTAAAGAGTATACCTTATGTGTTGTGGTTTGCTATCACATAAGAGAGGGAAAGTAAGTTTTTATGTATTTGAAGTCAATTTTTTAACAAGTAGGCTTTTTACACAAAAGCTTATAAACCACAATAGAAGACACGGGCAAAAAAAAAAGTCAAAAAAGAAAAACGAAGATATTGCTAGTAGTTTGAACAGAATTAAAGGTTGCAACAACTATAGTAACCATAGACATCGATGGCAGAAATCTTCCAATGAACAAATGACACAGAAAGTGAAGCAAAGTTTCCTTAGGGGTTCTACTGCCCTGGGAGCTTGAGGTGATTCATGTCTATGGGTATGCACGGGGGTATGTCCACTGGGGGTAAAGAGAACAGACATCTGCACTTCAGGGACCACCAAACTGAGTCTCTTTGTAACATCGCAGAAAAAGACTAGGTTGGCTGTTTTTGAATGTGCTGGTTCTACAGGAAACCGGAAAACAAAGCATCTGATAAATGGGAATTTCATCATCCTAGAACATCAATGTTTACTCTACCACAAGGGTTAAACCAACACAGGGATAGACAAAGTAGCTTTTGTTTGACCAACTGGCTTATCCTTAAAGAAAGATCATTTCAGAACCCTAGGCATGCCTCGGGATGGAAAACGGTCCGTTGCTGGGCAGCTGTGGAATTCACCCTGAAGAAGCAGGGTTATTGGTAGGGAACATATTTGTTGTCCTCTTGCTCTCTGGTTACTCCAGACACTTTGTTGGTACACTTTGTGAATTAGGTTTTAATTTGGAAATTTAAATACTACTTCACAAGATGGTTTTGGGAAAAATCAATCCATTGTCCATGACTTCCACTACTTGACAAGATGGCTTTGGGAAAAATCAATCCATTGTCCATGACTTCCAATCAATAATTTGTCTTAAAATAATGTTTGGAATATAACTTATGATGACATTCTGTTCACAGAATAATATTTGGAGCCGTTATTCTCACCTGCTGTCACTGCCACACTCTGAGGCCAGCATGCAAGTGATTAACTAAACCTTCTGACTCCTCCCTCCCTGAGATATCTAGAAATTCCTCTTCCTCTTCTGCCTTCAGTGACACATTGAACTAATCTGTGAAGAGGTACACACTTCTCACGGTCTTCATAATGACTATTTGCTTCTCAGATAAACTCACTAAACGGTGAACTCTTTTAAGCAAACCGCATTATTCATCTTTAATTCCCTTGGTATAGCTTTACGTATTTTAGTATTTTTGTTTTTCTTTCAAATGGGTTCATGTCATATCAACATGCTTTAATTCATTTTACTCCACATTAAATATGAAAATGGATCAGTTTTTAGAATATAAAAAGTAAATTTATTAAAAATGTTGAGACATAAAATCTGTTTAAATTTTAAAAGAGAAATTTATATTTTATAGTTTTCTAAATATTAGTGAGTTTTCTAAACTTTTTACAAGTTTATTTGACATCTTAAATTTTGAAATTTGAAAAATTTCTTGTTAAGCACAAAGCACTTAAAGATATTGAAAAAAGTACTTTTGCTGTTAAAGGCATTTTTGAACTATTTGATCTTTGAAATTTCCTTTCCATTACCCCTTTTGTTAGACATTAATGCAGAAAAAAAAATTTGTTTCCTTAATATAATATTTCCCACATTGATGTCAAACTGATCAGCTAGAGGCAAACCAGTGATTTTTTTTCTAAATACCGGGTCTTTGCTACAAGAATCTTATAAATTGCTAGCTTAAACTGAAACAATTATTATTACGATAAGATACAAATCTCAGAAAGTCTAACAAGGTAAATTCAATCTGTACATTCTACAATTTCAAGGAGAGATGCTATAGTCTATCAAATAGCTCTAACATTCCCTAAAACATTGATCTCTATACATTGATACTACCCTCATCTTCCACTAGAATTTAACACAGAACCTCTTAAATTTGTAAAGAACAGCTGCTTAGAGGGGCTTATTTTATTTAACATTAAGTCTGTAAACCCAGCACTTTGAGGGGCTGAGGTGGGCAGATCACCTGAGGTCAGGAGTTTCAGACCAGACTGGCCAACATGGTGAAACCCCATGTCTACTAAAAATACAAAACTTAGCCAGGGGTGGTGATGTGCAACTGTAATCTCAGCTACTTGGGAGGCTGAGGCAGGAGAATCGCTTGAACTTGGGAGGCGGAGGTTGCAGTGAGCCAAGATTGCACCACTGCTCCAGCATGGGCGACAGAGCGAGACTCCATCTCAAAAAAAAGATGTTGAAAAGGGCAATGAAATCTAGGCACAGATGAAGAACTAATGTGGACAACGCCACAAATGAAGCATTTGAAATGCACCTGGTGTTCATCTTTTTGTACAGACTTTGTATGTAGCAAGTATAAGGCCATTTCCTACTATCACGACATCTCTGCTTATCCAGATGTTGCAAAAATTCAATTAATTTCAATAGTATCTAGGTCTTCAAAGACCATATACAATCTCTAGGCAATATTTTTGCAATGTATTAGCCAGATGTGAAACCAGAGCTCTGAACCAGTAATTTTCTGACTCAATATTACAGTATGTATGGTCTGATGTCTCCATCCACATGGAGGAAAACGAATGCAGACTTCCCTCAATAAATATATGATGTAAAGATGCAGTAATTTGGATCATCTTATGTTAGGTTTGTTTAATTCTGCCCAGCCATCCTTTATGTTTTGCTCCAACGTGTTTTTTCTTCTGAGAAATTAGAAATATATATTGCAAAGTAATCACATTTCTTCCTCAAAATAATTGATTGCATTTCCTTATCTGTTAATAACTTCTCCCTAAAATGCATGACTTTTATTAAGAAATCCAACTGTCTTGCCTATTACAAAACTTAATTCATATCTCAGCAGAGTTAAAGATGTCATAGAGCATTCATAGTGGATGTATTCATTAGAAAAGAGAAAGTAGGCTGGGCAAGGTGGCTCATGACTGTAATCCCAGCACTTTGGGAGGCCAGGGTGGGTGGATCATGAGTTCAGGAGTTCGAGACCAGCCTGGCCAACATGGTGAAACCCTGTCTCTACTAAAAATACAAAAATTAGCCAGGTGTGGTGGCAGGCACCTGCAATCCCAGGAGCACGCCACCTGATGCTGAGGCAGGAGAATCGTTTGAACCCAGGAAGTGGAGGTTGCAGTGAGCCGAGATAGAGCCTTTGCACTCCAGCCTGGGCGACAGAGCGAGACTTCGTCTCAAAAAAAGAAAAAAAAAAATAAAGGTAGCTAGAGAAGGGTGTGTGTGTGTGTGTGTGTGTGTGTGTGTGTTTTAAAGCAGGTGGCATGTGAGTTCAGGTTATATGATGAATGTAATGTAAGAAAGAAGAGAAGTAAATTATTTTATCCAGGCATCCTCCAGTATATTCTTCTTAGCACTTTCATTTTCTTATGCATATTGCTTCTTTCTGTCTTTTTCCTATTGATTTGGACATATCCACAAGTTTAAAAAAATGAAATTTTTGTCCTCCATCGTTTTAGACACTACAATCAATTCACTTTACTCCAGTCTTGGATTAAATGTTTAAATTCAAATTTAAAAATAAATTCCCAAGTCTAAATCTGGCAATAGTTAAAGATACACTAAATTATCACATATATTTCATAAAGATTGTTAAGCAAAAGGAATTTTGAATTTTAAAATATAGGTAGCATCCACCTGATTTACCCAGAGATGGTGGCGATTTTCTTTCTATTTAGTGGTTTAATGGTGTTAGTGTTTAACACAAGCTGTTTTTGCTGCTAGTGGTCATTAAATTTTTTTGGTTTATATATTTTTTACTTCTAAAAAACTTCAGTTAGATTAAGAATGCTATCTTTCTCATTTGTCTCTGGTTTCTATTTTTTTTAAATAATTCGATAGGAAGAAAAGTTCATGTAATGCAAATTCTTCATGAACAGCAAAGATTTTGAATGCAGGACAGTGTAGTGAGTATGGTAAGACCTTGTCAAGGAATATGTGATTTCTGTTTAGCTCTTCCTAAAGATAAAATGACCAAAGAAATCCTTCAATGAACATGACATTATTCTGGAGGAAGTAGGAACAACTGAAAGGAAATCTGTGAAGGGCAACTTGAGAAAGTGAACTGAAACTAGAACTTTCCAAGTTAACTGCACCTTCAAACTTTGCACGTTACAAGGTGCTTCTTCTCAAACTAATATTCTACTTTATATTCAAATTAAATCTAAAGTCATTAGCAGCACTTACATTAGAGCCTCTTCCTGTGATGACACTGTTCGCTTGAGAGAAAACTGAGTTAGGAAAAAGAAGTTTGGTTTGATGAAGTGCAGTTGCAAAATTACGTCAGTGTCTGTGCCAGTTTATGACCTGGAAAATAAATAAGAAGAAGCAGTTTCATTATCGTATTTTCATTCAAGATTTTTATATTGGAAATGATCATTTATAAACGCTAGAGCCAAAAAATTATTACAAATCTTGATTTCAGTTCATGTTCCCTTAAAATAGAAGAGTCTTCCAGTGTGCCTATTTCTGACTCAAAATGTGGAAAACCAGAGTGTCATTTCTCAAAGGTAACAACCCCACCACTGCTCTGCCCGAGGACTTTATTAGATTTAATACTGAGAGCTCACAGTCAGCTACCGCCATGAATCCCTTGAAAGCTAGAAACTTAGATTATCTTTTGTCTACATTTCTATTACAGAGACTGTTGTTAACCTTCCATTCCCAACTTGAACTTACTTAATGGCGTTGCCAACCAGCAGCGGCACCCCTGAGAGCCTCCAGCAAAATAAAAGCTAACCTAAGTAACATCTTAGGTGTTAATGTAGGTTTCCAAGAAGAAAGGTAATCTGATCTTTTAACATTCTGTTTCTACTTGCAAAGTGTAGCACATCTGCATTATGACATAGCTTCTGGGAGATCAGCATGTGGATCATTTTGCAACTTTCAGAGGTGATTGAAATGTTTCAAATTAGAGTCCTGAAATAAAAGAGCTCATGGCCAGGGGGATTGTCACTTCACAGAGTGGAAAACGAGGTTTACTAGTTACTAAATTAACAGAAATAATAGAATTGGTAGGAATAACTTCGCTATGTGTTATTGGATTTTTTTTTTCTTTTATTTACTTGGAGATAATTTAAAAGATGACAAGTATGGTGAAAGTTTAACTCTTCATTACCTAACTTCAATTTTTCTGGATATTTATACACTGCGAACAGGAATACACATTAGAATGCTTCAGGTTTATGTAAGCATGATCATAATTACTCACTTATCCTCATGGATTTAAACTAGAAGACACACATTTTAAAATTTTTCCTTTTAGACACGTGTAAATTATGGAAAGAGTAGTTTTTCTCAATATAACAGAAAATGAGAATTTTATCTATGGATAAAAGTGACACAAGTCATTTGACAGAACAGTTCTTTGTTGTGTATCCCCAGGGCAGCATGCTTTTATTAAATATATAAATCATTACTTCATTATTGATACAACTGATTAGTTAACAGAAAAGATTAATGTATTTAGGTGAGAATTTTGTTGCATATAGTTCAATATTCTTATTCTACATTTAGAAATAATACTTGAGGAAGTATTCTACTGAAGATATGTATTTAATTTGAAGGAAAAATTATGCAAATAGGCAAAAATAAAAATATTAAATTTACTCTTTATTTCTGATCTTTTTTACAATGACATCCCATGTTACAACTAGCTTTCCAATAAATAAGAGAACTCTTTTCTTTCGTGTTAGATTATCCGAAACTAAAACGCAGGAAAGATTGCACACCACTCTCAGTGAAACTGACCTGTCATTCATGGTCTTGAAGAGAGACGCAGAAGAAAACTCAATATGAACTTCCAGACTTAGCAATCAGAAGACAAAATTCATAGCATGATGATGATGATTGATGCTTTACAAAATATAGAAATGCTAATCCTTCTTTATAATCATGCTCATACCATAAATGACTAAAGTAAGCATTTTGCCCTAAGAGGAAAATATAATGATTTTTATAGAAAGCTAATATTACACATAGACACATTCCTGTGGCTATATGATGACTGAAAAATGATTTATCTCACCATGACATATATAATAAATCTTAAAACCATGGAGAGAAAAAAAAATCAAAGTTTAAAGCTATAAGGAACTAAAATCAGTTAGTCAGACTTTCATACTTTACGCAAAAAGAGGCTAATGACGTGGGAGGTCAAGTGACTTGCAAAGGTAATAAAAAGCCATAGCTAACTGTCGGTCTTCTAATTCACATTCTGATTTTATTCTGCTATGTGATTTTAAATATAAATTTACTATATTGGATATTATCTTAAGATATCTAAAACTTACTAGAAGTAGTGAGCTTTGCCATTACACAACCAAGCCCATATTAGAAATGTTTATTCCATCATATATCTGCTCTGTGGGGTCACTGCCAAAGAGAGAGTGTAGAGTTACCTTACAACATCCAGTCAGCTTGTTATCTTTGTTATTGTTGTTAACAAACCTTAATCATTACTGTAACTGGTTAACCTTGTGAATCTTCTAGCACAAGCAATTGGCTTGAAGTCTTTAATATTAGCCAATAAAAATTGCCGACAGAATTTTTCTCTTGTGTAATTGTTTTCTGTTAAGTCTTAAAGTGGTATGTGGGGTTATCACTAAGTGACTGTGTCAATAAACTTCTAAATGATTCATCAAATATTTACTGAGTAGTAGTTATGTGCTTTACTTAAGAGAATATATTTCTTTTGACACAGTTTCATTTCCAGGAATGAGAGGTAGAGAGAGAAGATTCTCCATAGAGAGGGGAGCAAGGCATTTTGCATCTGCCACACCAAGGTCAGTGCAGAGTCAGGAGGACTTCTTCTTACAGGGAACAGCTGAGCTGGAGCTCACTTGCCCAGCAGTCCCCACTCCTGCCAAAACTGTCAGTAGTCTCTGCTACAGGAGATTCCCCAAGTCCTCACAGGCCCTGAATCTTGTTTGGAGAGTTAGTCAGAAATCTGTGCTGCTTCATACCCTCAGAGTAGGAGTCCACCTTGAGCGCCCCTACTCCTGCAACCTAAGTTGCCACAGCTTGGCACCATCTTGAAACCAGACCAACCACCAAAGATATCCTGCCCTGGGGATCAGTAGCAATGGATTCTTTCCATTCCTGAGGTGCCACAGTCATTCCATTATGTTTGTAAGAGTTCCCATAACACCATGACTCTGGCTGCCTGCACTCTAGGCAGATGGAATGATGAAGACCACAGCATTTTAACCCACACAGACCACAACCCCCACAGGGAACAGGTGGACTTGCACAGTGGAAGAGCCACTGAAATGCCAGCCTGCCTCCTCATCCACTCCTGTCTGCTCTGCACAGCTGGCAGGCTTGCCAACACCACACATGCCTGCACCCGGCCAACAGCTAGTTCTCTGATAGTCCTGTCCTCTGACAGACCACCACAAAGTTGCCCAACCCCACCACACCCGAATGTGCCCACATCCAGCACAACACCAAGTCTGACAGCAGCCCCATCTATCCTGAGAGACCACCTCATGGCTGCTGTGTATACTATTTTTATGTGACCAATTTAAGTTACTATCAGATTAAGTAGTTTATTATGGCTTTTCAAGATAGCCCCATGGTAACTACAAAGAAGGAAATTACAGCAGATAAACAAATAAGAAAGGGAAAGGAAATAAAACTTAGTACAACAACAACAAAATCCCAGAAAACCAGAGAGGTAAAAAAAAAAAAAGAGGAAGAAAAGAACAAGGGATCTACAAACTAACCAGAAAACAATTAATATAGTGTTAACAAAATGACAGGAGCAAGTCCTTCTCTATTAAGAATAACTTCAAATGTAAATGGATTAAATTATCTAATTGAAAAACATAACATGGCTGAATGGACAAAAAGATAGGACCCAAAACCATACGTTTCCTACAAAAGACTCACCTCATCATTAAAGATAAACATAGACGTAAGAGAAGAGCTTGATAAACATATTTTATGCAATCAGAAACCAAATGTCAGTAGAAATGGCCATAGCTAGATCAGTTAAAACAGATTTTAAGCCAAACACTGTAAGAAGAGAAAAAGAAGGCCATTATATAATGATAAAGGAATCAATTTAACAAGTAGATATAACAATTATAAATATATAAGCAGCTAACATTGGAGCACTCAGATATTTAAAGTAAATATTGTTATACCTAAATCAAGAGACAGTCTGCAATTAAATAATATTAGGGGACTCCAGTACTTCACTTTCACCAATGGACTGATCATCAAGACAAAATATCAACAAAGAAACCCTGGAGTAACAAGATCACAAAAATATAAAATTAGAAATAAAGAAATAAATAAGAAAGGCCAGGCGCGGTGGCTCACGCCTGTAATCCCAGCACTTTGGGAGGCCGAGGCAGGCGGATCACGAGGTAGGAGATTGAGACCAACCTGGATAACATGGTGAAACCTATCTCTACGAAAAATACAAAAAATTAGCCGGGCGTGGGGGCAGGTGCCTGTAGTCCCAGTTACTCGGGAGGCTGAGGCAGGAGAATGGCATGAACCCGGGAGGTGGAGCTTGCAGTGAGTCGAGGTCGCGCCACTGCACTCCAGCCTGGGCGACAGAGCGAGACTCTGTCTCAAAAAAAAGAAAAAGAAAAAGAAAAAGAAAACAAAAAAAAAGAAAAAAAGAAATAAATAGGAAAAACTTCAGAAACTTAAAAAATACAGAGATGTTAAATAACATGCTCCTGAAAAACCAATAGGTCAATGAAGGAATTAGAAAGAAAGTGAAGAATTTTCTTGAGACAAATGAGAATGAAAACACATCCTACCCAAATCTATGGGAAACAGTATAAGCAGAACTAAGAGGGAGGTTTATTGTAATAAACATGTACATCAAAAAAGAAGAAAGATTTCTAATAAAAACCTAAAACTGCACCTTAAGGAACTAGAAAAAACAAGGACAAATGAAACTGAAAATTGGTGGAAGGAAGGAAATAATAAAGCTTAGAGAAGATATAAGCAAAATAGAGAAATGTTAAAAAAAAACTCAGATTAACAAAAGGAAGAGTTGTTTTTTGAAAAGATAAACAAAATTGACAAACCTTAGCTAGACTAAGAAAATAAGAGAGAAGACTCAAATAAGTAAAATCAGAGATGAAAAGGCAGGCACTACAACTGATACCACAGGGCGGGGGAAAGATAATATACTATTATGAACAAATATATGCCAACAAATTTGATAGCTTAGAAGAAATTAATAAGTTCCCAGACATTTACAACCTACTTTAAATTCTAAGGAGATTTCTAAAAATCTGAGTAGGTCAATAACAAGTGAGGAAATTGAACTGGTAATGAAAAGTCATCCATCAGATAGAAACTCAGGACTTGTTGGCATCATGGCTAGATTTTACCAAACCTTTAAAGAACTAACATCAATTGGCCAGGCGCGGTGGCTCACGCCTGTGATCCCACAAGTTTCGGCAGCCGAGGCAGGTGTATCACGAGGTCAGGAGATCAAGACCATCCTGGTTAACACGGTGAAATCCCAACTCTACTAAAAATTAAAAAAAAAAAAAAGAAATTAGCCAGGCGTGGTGGCACACGCCTGTAGTCCCAGCTACTCGGGAGGCTGAGACAGGAGAATCACTTGAACCCAGGAGGTGGAGGTTGCAGTGAGTCCAGCTTGTGCCACTGCACTCCAGCCTAGGCGACAGAGCAAGACTCTGTCAAAAAATAAAAAATAAACAACAACAACAAAAAAAACCCATCAATTTTCCTCAAACTGTTCTGGAAAATTAAAGAGGAGGGAATTCTCCCAAACCCATTATACAAGGCTAGCATTTCCCTGATTCCAAAATCAGACAACAACACAAGAAAAACAGAAAATGATAGGTCAATAATCCTGATGATCGTTAAGTGCCAAAATTCTCAATAAGATGCTACTGAATTCAACAGCACACTACGAAGATTATCTACAGTGATCAAGTTGGATTCATTCCAGGGACACAAGGCTGGTTTAATATATACAAATCAATAAATGTCATATACCACATTAACAGAAAGAAAGAAGAAATCATATGATTATTTCAAGAGACAGCCCTTGACACAATTTAACATCCCTCTATCATACACACTCTCAACAAATTAACTACAGAAGTTACGAATCTCAACAACATAAAAGCCATATATGACAAACCCACAACTAACATCATACTGAGTGAGGAAAAGCTGAAAGAAAAGGGACAAGATGAGAATTCCTACTTTCACCACATTTATTCAACGTGATACTGCAAGTGCCAAGTTCTAGCCAGAGCAATTAGGATAGAGAAAGAAATAAAAGGCATCCAAAATAGAAAGGAGGATGTTATATTGTCCATGTTTGCAGATGACATAATCTTATATATAGAAAAACTTAAAGACTTCATGAAAAAAATCTATATTAGAATTAATAAATAAAATTTAGTAAAGTTGAAGAATACAAAATTAACATACAAAAAGCAGCAGCATTTCTATATGCTAATATTGAACTATCTGGGAAAAAATAAAGACAAGACTAAAGAAAAATAAGAAAATAAGCTATTTTATTTAAAATATCCACAAAAAATAAAACGATATCTAGGACTAAACCAAGGGAATGAAAGATCTCTACACTAAAAACTATAAAACTTTGATTAAAGAAATTGAAAAGGACACAAATAAATAGAAAGGTATCCCATATTCATTGATCAGAAGCATTAAGATTGTTAATCATAGCACTCAAAGAAATTTATAGATTTAATACAATATCTGTCAAAATAACAATGATATCTTTCACAGAATAAAACAAAAAGAAAAAAAAAAGATTTCTAACAACCTAAAACTTTGCCTTGAGAAACTAGAAAAACAAGAAAAAATGAAACTGAAAATTGGTGGAAGGCACTATATTAAGTGAGCACAAAGAATAAACTTGAGACATCACACTACCTAACTTCAAAATATACTAAAAAGTTGTAGTATGCAAAACATAATGGTACTGGCACAAATACAGACATATATACCCATGGAACAGCATAGAAAGCCCAAAAATTAATCCACACCTACAGCCAAATGATTTTTGACAAAGTGCCATGAAGACACACTGGGGAAGGACAATCTCTTCAATAAATGTTACTAGCAAAATTATAGATCCACATGCGGAAGAATGAGACCCAACCCTTACATCTTATTATATACAAAAATCAACTCAAAATTGATTAAAGATTTAAATATGAATCTTGAAACTATGAAAAGACTGGAAGAAAACAGAAGAAAAACTTCACAACATTAGGCTAAGCAAGTATATTTTTTTAAAAACCTCTAAAGCACAGGCACCAAAATAAACAGATGGGATAAGATCAAAATAAAAAAGCCCTTTCACAGCAAAGGAAACTATTAACAGAGTCAAAAGAAAACTTACATAATGGGAGAAAATATTTGGAAACTACACATCTGACAAAGGGTTAATATCCAAAATATAAGGAAGTTAAAACCTTGACAGAAAAAATAAATAACCCAAATTAAAAATGGGCAAAAGACCTTAATAGGCATATCTTAAAAGGAGACATATAAATGGCCAACACATACATTTTTTAAATGCTCAACTTCTCTAATCATCAAAGAAATGCAAATCAAAATCACAAGAAGATATTACCTCACTCCAGTTAACTGGTTATTATGAAAAAGACAAAAGAAAAAAAAATATTGGTGAGGATGTAAGCACAAGGAAACACTTACTGTCGGTGGGATTGTAAATTAATATAGCCACTATGGAAAATAGTATGAAGCCCCCTAAAAAAATTAAAAAGGACTATCCTATGATCCAACAGTCATGCTATGGGATATATATCCAAAGGAAATGAAATCAGTACATAGAAAAGATATCTACGTTCCCATGTTTATTGCAGCACTATTTACAATAGCCAAGATACGGTAACAACCTAAGGGTCTAACAACAAATGAATGGATGAAGAAAATACAGTAAATATTCGCAAAATACTACTACTCTGACCTAAGGAAGAATGAAATCCTGTCATTTGCAGCAATATGGCAACATAGATGAAATTGGAGGTCACTTTATTAAGTGATATATGCCAGTCACAGAAAAACAATACCGATACTGCATGATCTCACTCGTATATCAAAATTGTTTTTTACTGACATTGATATCATAGAAGCAGAGAGTATTACCACAGACACTGCGGAGGGGCGACACGGTATGAGGGAAGGACAAGGAGAAGTTGGTCAACAGGTACAAAGTTACAATTAAATAGGATGAATCAACTCTAGTATTTTATTGCCTAGTAGAGTAGCTATGGTTAACAGTGAAACATCATATATAACAAAGTATCCAGATGATAGACTTTCAAATGCTCTCACCACAAAGAAATAATACATGAATGAGGTGACGAATACACTAACAACCCTGGCTGGGTAATTATACAATGTACATATGTATTAAACCATTGTATTATACCACATAAATATGTAAGTTACAATGTGTCAATGAAAAAATAATTAATTAATTTAAAAGTAAATTTAAACAAAGTTAAAAAAAAAAAAAAAACTCCAAGAGATCAGCACGTGGCTGTGAAGCCAAGAATGTTAGATTCTTATTTGTGAAACAGAAAATAGGTATTTTTGCCTATAGCAGAGATTATTCTAAATTAATTAAGGAGTAGGAAGCTAATAAATGTCAAAACACTGTTTAATTTACTATACAAAAATGTAATGAGTATTAAACTGCATTTTTGGAGTTATATACCTCCATACGACTAAAACACCCAAACATCTTTTAGTTAATAGTATCATAGGTATGTAAAGATTATTTGTTTCATTTTTTCATGTTACAGCGAGTACATTGTGGTTTTTCTGTTACTAATATTTAGGGTCTAAGGTCTTGTTACTAATATTTTATTTCCATATCACTTGGGGATTTTTAGTCTATTTTTTGTAATGTTAATATGATTGTGTTCTGCATTAGCAGATAACAAAATGTATTGTATAGGCTATCTATTCATTTCAGTAAACCCAAAACACTTTATCACATTTTCACTGTTCCTCTTTCGGTGAACTATTAAGTATAAGTAAAAATGAAAAAGAGCTAAAATATATAAGTACTAATTTCTCCAAAGAAAATTTCCAATAATATGAAGGCTCACAGATCTCCAAATGTATTCAGTCAAGACACTAATGATGAGAGTTCAAATGCACTGATCCCTGCTGTGTGTTATGAACTATGTTACTCTGTTTCAGAAACTCTTAAAATTCACAACTGCATAAACTAGATAATATTATTCCCATTTAATAGTCGAACTGGCTGCAGCACAGAGATGATAAAATAAATAATATACACAAATTACACAGCTGGTAGGGGTGTGTGCTGAGAGAGTTAGTCAAGTCACTAACTACTATGCAGTACTATTATACCTCTCATGATGAAATGTTGCTACATGTGTTCTTTCAACAAAGGACAATTTTCAGCAGAAATTTTTTGTTCTTCTTGGTTGAAAATTTTTAACATAAATCCATAGATTCCACAAAGGAGACATTCTATATTTATGGTTGCATAGCTTTTAGTGAAATTTAGGTCAGCACTTTTAGAAATACGTTCTTCACAACACAAGGTCTATGAAATGTTAAAATATATTCCTTGAGGAAAGATATCTGCAATAAATTAATTTGAAAAATTTTGGATTAAACAAAATTAAACAGCTTCCTACTGTGGCCATCTTAGACTTTAACATGCTAATTTACAATATGATTCTTCATGAGGAACGGTATATACACCTCGCCATATGAAAACTTTATGATTAACAAGTACTACCGTATTTATTTAAATATTTAGGCGACTTTATCCCTTCTGTAAAATATGTTATATGATAGTGGGCATTGGGTAAGTCTTGTAATTCTACTACTGTTCTATTTGGTGAGGAATTTGGGAGAATAGTTTTGATAATTCAATATTTATTTGTACTGAATTGGAACGATATATCACTGTTTTGAATTTAGAGATATTTAAAAAGTCTTATAATTGTAACCTTATAATTTGTAAACTTATTTCATGTTGAAGTGAAAAAATTTAGGAAAATCTTCAATACTACGTTGCCCAAGTCTACTTTTATAAAAATTTGCCCCTGCTATTTTATAATTTTTTTAAAATCTGAAGTTTAGTGAGGTGCATTTCATTTAGTAAAACGTGTTGAAACAAATTCCAAACATCTTTTTGAAAATATTGTAATTTTTTTCATTCATTAGCAGTGAGGAATTCTGCATTATTTATAAATTTTTTTCTATTAGAAGTGCATTTACTTTATTTGTTTGTTTTGCTTTGTTTTTCTACCTTTATTTTAGGTTCAGGGGGTGCATGTACAGGTTGCTACATGGGTAAATTGCATGTTGCTGAAGCTTGGTGTACAAATAATCTTATTACCCAGGAAGTGAGCATAGTACCCAATAAGTAGCCTTCCAATCCATGTTTCCTGTCAAGGAGTCCCCAGCGTCTATTGTTCCCATCTTGGTGTCCATGTGTATTCAATGTTTAGCTCCCACGTATAAGGGAGAACATGCAGGATTTCGTTTTCTGTTACTGCCTTAGTTTGCTTAGGGTCATGGCCTCCTGCTGCATCCATGTTGCTGCAAAGGACATGATTTTGTTCTTTTTTACGATTGTGTAGCATTTCCTTTTTTTTTTTTTTTCTTTTGAGACGGAGTCTCGCTCTGTCGCCCAGGCTGGAGTGCAGTGGCGGGATCTGGGCTCACTGCAAGCTCCGCCTCCCAGGTTCACGCCATTCTCCTGCCTCAGCCTCCCAAGTAGCTGGGACTACAGGCGCCCGCCACTACGCCCGGCTAATTTTTTGTATTTTTAGTAGAGACGGGGTTTCACCGTTTTAGCCGGGATGGTCTCGATCTCCTGACCTCGTGATCCGCCCGCCTCGGCCTCCAAAAGTGCTGGGATTACAGGCGTGAGCCACCGCACCCGGCCTGTGTAGCATTTCACGGTGTATGTGTACTACATTTTCTTTATCCAGTCGACTGTTGATGAGCATCTTGGTTGAGTCCACGTCTTCACTGTTGTAAATAGTGCTGCAGTGAACATAAGAGTGTATGTGCCTCTGATAGAACAATTTATTTTCTTTGGGTATATACCTAGTAGTGGCATTGCTGATTCAAATCGTAGTTCTGTTTTAAGTTCTTTTAAAAACCTTTATTTTAAAAAATTTGTTTAAAACAGTAATCGTCAAACTTTAAAGCACATTGGAATCATCTGCAGGGTTTGTTAAGCAGATTGCTTATCAGTAGATCTGGGTGGGGCAGAGAAATTAGCATTTCTATTAAGTTTCCAGGTGATAATGATGCTATTTCTCAGGAGCATACCTTCAGAACCACTGGAAAGCTGAACTCAGAGGAGAGTAGATAAGGCAATGTATTACTCAGCGTTCTCCAGAAAAACAGACCAATAGGATAGATGAGATATAGACATAGAAAAAGAGATTTATTATGATAGATAGTTGATCTCATAGTTCCCTAACTATGAGAGATAGTTAGGGAAACT
Organism: Homo sapiens; assembly: GCF_000001405.40. Taxonomy (NCBI): domain Eukaryota; kingdom Metazoa; phylum Chordata; class Mammalia; order Primates; family Hominidae; genus Homo; species Homo sapiens. The sequence continues at coordinate 179,812,942 of NC_000004.12, forward strand.
GAAAAGTCCCACCATTTGCCATCTGCAAGCTGGAGGTTGAGGAAAGCTATGGGCATAGTTCCAGTGCAAATCTGAAAGCTCAAGGGCCAGAGGCACTGATGTCCAACGACAGGAGAATATGGATGTCCCAGCTCAAACAGAAAGAGCAAATTCACCTTTCATCCACCTTTTGGTTCTTTCATGCCCTCAACAGATTGGGTAACACTCTCTCACTTTTTTTTGTAAGAGGGAATCTTCTATATTCAGTTTTCCCATTCAAATGCTAAACTTTTCTGAAAACACTCTCATAGACATAGCCAGAAACAATGTTTTACCAGCAATCTGGGCATCCCTTAGCCCAGTAAACATGACACGTAAATTTAACCATCACAGGCAATAAGTATTTGTGATCCTAATGTTATTTTTAAGGGTTATAATTCAAAATGGGATATTCTGATTTCCATTTTTCTGATTAAATAAAAAACATTAGTTATTCCATTGAATACTGGCAAATTTAAAATGCAACATTTTAAAAAAGAAAATAAGATGAAACATTTTTTATCTTTTCACTCTCCCTAGTACTTTTCAGACTGATTGAATCATATTTAAATATCCAGAAAATATTACATGTAAAATTAATACTTTTTAAAATGCTGACTACATTTTAATAAACCATGTTATTTATGATGAATATGATACCAGAATTAATCAGTAAAATATCATAAGCACGAAAATATGAAACATGACTTCTGTTGCACTTGGAGCCATTAGTGATGATAGAATACACAGAATTTTTACCAGATGTCTGGGCCTACTCAACTCTCCACCACCATGTGTGTTATGGAAAAAAAATAAACTGACAAGGTATTAATCATATAGATATTCTTCTAGAATAAGACAGTATGTCTAGGTATATGGTCAGGAAGAGCAGATTATAGTGGACAGGATTAGAAGTACTGAGTTCTGCTCCTCCTTGTTTCATTATTATGTCTGGGGATAAATCAAGCAGACTCTAAGTTGCACATTTGTGAAATGAAAGGATTTTGTGGAAGGAGCTCTGAAGCCTCTTATATTTTTGAAAAAAAAAATGGCATACTGATTGTTTTTTCTTCTTTCAATATTTCTCAAGTCTGTTGCCCAGAACATTGCGATATTTTGAGACTGGCCATACTCAGTTTTACTTATTTAGTAAAATAAATTAATTAGGTGCTCTCTAATTGTTACAGCCATAAGAAAAATCAATTGGAAGTCATTAACAGATCATAATTACCTTTAAGTAGGTTCTACTATAATCTAAAATTCATGTTAGGTAAATAAGAACTTTTAATAAACTCTCTCCCATTAATTTTAGGAAGATTTCACAATTACAATTATAATAGTTGTATCTACATATATGTCACAAGAATATACAAAAGTAGCAAAGATAATGAATAAGTAGACAAGAGTAGAAAAAATAAATCTGGATAAGTTCACTATATTCATATATACATCATATACACATATAAAATTTTAGGTTGCAAAACGTAACACTCAGATGAAGCAATCATAGAAAGAAAATTGTCCTCCCAAATGTCAGTTAATGTTTGATCAAGTGTAAAGCTGATCTATATGTGAGTAAGAGTCATTATGGACCCAGAAAGAAGCCAAATCATAAGCATATTCAGGTGACTGACCATGTAAGATGTTTTAGATTAGGGTCAGAACCTCAAGTCTAAATTAAACACTTAGCTTAAAGAAAAACTCATCAATTTAAAGTTAGCATGAGTATGACCCGTAATACAGAAAAAAAAAGCAGCTTGCTGATATGTGTGTGGATCATAAGTCTAAAAATGACATTTACTAAAAGAGCAAAACGACGGCACAGATAAAAGAAATTACAAAAGAGCAAAAAGATGGGAATTTTTTTTTAACTCAAGCTATTCTATTTAGAGCAATAGTTTCAAAACCCACAACAAAAAACAATGTATCAAAGACAAAGGCCTAAAAGCAGCATTTTGATTTTGTGGTATGTTGTGTTTTTAAAGTTGGAATGAGGTGGCCGGAAGAATATAATTATTGTTTTATTTACATAAATGTATGGGACACAAGTGTAATTTTGTTACATGCATAGATTACTTAATGTATTGATATAGTCTTCTAGCCATTTGCTTTTGAGATATTATGAGAATATAATATTAATTTTTTACCTTTAGGCTTTGGTAGTATATTATTGTTGTCGTGCAACTGACATTGCAATTTACCTGGTTCTGTTGAGACCACTGACTCTTTTTAAGCATTTAATAAACTCAACACAAGCAATAGATTTAAAATCTAGTTACAATTATAAACCTGCAAATTTGGTTAAAATTATATCTGATTGCATAAGGTGGGGTATCTCCAGTGTTTTATCCACATGGAAAGAAATAGCAGGCAGTTTAAAAACTTTAAAATGGGTAAGACCAGGGAGGGAAATATGACCATCATAACTTATTCCAAAGAAAAGTCTCATTCAGAACTATGTATAACATATAAAATATATGTGATAAATTCACACAATGCGATGTTTAAATGATTAAAGCAGATAAGCAATGAAAATACATACAATTTTAAAATAAGAAGAAGACGACAGAGACTTTCATACACCAGACATAGCCTCGTTGATGGAGAACTTTTAGAATTGACATAGATAATGAAAACAAACTGCACAGGAATTAAAATCAATATAATCTGTGAAGCAAATATGAAGACACTAGAATCTGGAGATAAATGACTAAAGAAAGGAAAAACAGTGACCTTATAATGCTTCCCAATTCTGCAATGGGGCAACTCAAGCACGTGCATTATATATAGATAGATAGATAGATAGATACCATTTATATATTTATATACCATTTATATATTTATAAATATAAATATACATATTTATATATATACCATTTATATATATCATATATATATATATACACACACACAAACACACACACCAACATATAAGTGATCCATAGTAAAAAGCAAATAAATGCAGGTACTGGGAACTCAAAGAAACAAACATCTAGAATGTAAAATCTAGCCAGGAAATACATAGAGTTATGGGATAAAGAAATCATTCTTCAATCTAGTCATGACGGGGGCAATAATATATCTTAGAGAATATTAATGTGAGCTTTTTTCATTAGAAATTTTGCAATATGATCACAGCCAATCATTTTCAGTGTCATTAACCAATGTGAAAATGTGTCACATGTAACAGGCGGGACTACTGAGTTCTCAGAACTTAGAGAAATGCAAAAATTGAGATCAGCTTTTTTATTTGGAGAAATGATTTCAAAAAGATTTTCTAGAGGGCAATGTTGTTCAACTGTTGCTATACGGTATCCATAAATAAGTTATATTTATTTTTCTGCTCTAAATTAAAATAATTGTTCAATGGACCTTGAATCATAGAGAGTTTTTGAGGCTTTATAAATAAATTTAATTTTTTAAATAAACACAATAAAATTTCCACACATAGCAGTGAACAAGTAGCACGGTAGTTGCCTAGTGCAAAATGACCTCTGCCCCTGGTCTCTAATAACCAGCATCTCATAGGCCGAGTTTATCCTAGGGGGCACTGATAGCCTAGTTAAGGCTGTAGTTTTTTATGCAGTATGTTTATACGGATGACATCGTTCTGCATACAGACTATTGTGATGCTTCAATGTAGAAGCAACTATAACCCTAAATATGCTTAACAAGGCCAAATCATATAAGCTATTTCTATATACGAACAATGTCCATTGGGGGTATCAGTTTTTCAAAACCTTTACAATAACATCAGCAAATACTTAGAAATAGGATTTGATATATTGTGCACAAGACTTGTTCATAGAAAAGTATAAAATACCACTGAGGCAAATTAAAGAAGACTTAAAGAAATTGAGATTTATACCACATTCATAGATAATAGAACTATTGTTAATACGGAAAATTTGACCAAAATGTATCTATATATTTAATGTAATCCCAATCAAAATCCCATCAGATTTTTTTTCTTTGAAAGAACTGCCTAGCTTGCTCTAAAATGTATATTAAAAAGCAAAATACTTATAACAGTAAAACATTTATTTTAAAAGAAGAAGGTTGGAGGCTTACACTATCTGATGTCAACTTACTGCCGACCTAGTAATCAAAACAGTGGGGTAGAAAGACAGACATATTCTTCAATGGAAGAGAATAGAGAAACAAGAAATAGTATGCAGTTGAGCCTTGAACAACGTGGGGGTTGGGGTTCTAACCCCTCCGTGCAGCCAAAAATCTACTTACAACTTTTGACTCCCCACAACTTAACTACTAACAGCCTACTATTGACCGGAAGCTTTACTGATGACACAAACAGTCGATTAACATATATTTTGTATGTTAAATGTATTATAGATCTGTATTCTTACAATAAAGTAAGCTAGAGAAAAGAAAATGTTATTAAAAATCATAGGGAAGAGAAAACATATTTACTATTCATTAAGTAGAACTGGATCATGAAAAAGGGCTTTTCCACCTTGTCTTAACGTTGAGAAGACTGAGGAGGAGGAGGAATAGGAGGGGTTTGTTTCGCTGTCTCCACGGGTGGCAGAGGCAGAAGAGGTTAAGGAGGTGAAAGGGGAAGCGAGAGAGGCAGGCACGCTCGCTGCAACTTTGCAGAAATACATCATAATTTCTGTCAGACATTTTTGCTTTTTCGTTTTTCTAAAAATATTTGTGTATGGTATCAATCCTCCTTCTACCGTTTGCATTAGTTTCAGTGCCTGCATCACAAAATAGTCCATGTCATAAAAGAAATCAAAAGCAGTCTTGAACAATCAGAGCCCTTTTACCAGATTGTCTAACGTCAATATGTTTTCTGGCCCTGCTTCTTCTGTCTTCTTCCTCATCATTTGCCATTGGTTCAGAAGCACTCATTTCCATCAGATTATCTTCTGTTAGTTCCTCTGGTGTGGTGTCTACATGCTTTTGAATTTCTTCATGATCTATATCTTGAATCCTTTACCACCACCCATCACACACAGCCTTTTTTTATTATTATTTATATAGCCACAATCTCTTTCATGATTTTCTTGATTGACTGTGTAGTAAATACTGGGAAGTCATGCACAACACCTGGACACAGTTTTCTCCAGCAGGAGTTTATTTTGCAGGCTTGATGGCTTTCACGGCTTTTTGCATAATAACAATGGCATCTTTGTTGGTGTAATCCTCCCAGACTTTCTCAGCGTTCTCTTCCATAGCATTGGCAATCCTTTCCATAAAGTGCCATGTGTAATGTGCCTAAATACTCCCTATGACCCCCTGATCTCAAGGCTGAATTAGAGACCTCATGTTTGAGGCAAGCAGACCACTTCAGTGCTTTCAGTGTTGAATTCATGGGGTTCTGGGTGGTCAGGGGCATGTCCAATATCAAAAGAATGTATAAAGGCAGTCCCTGACTGGCAAGGTACTTCCTGATTTCAAGGACAAAGTATCGATGGAACCAATCAAGAAAAAGAGTTATCCTTTCCAAGCTTTCTTGTTGTACAACCAAAAGACTGTCAACAGGTGTTTATCTTTTTTTTTCTTCTAGGCTTGGGGATCAATAGCTTCATAGATAAGGGCAGTCATGCATAATAAACTCGACTGCATTTGCAAAAATAGAAAAACAGTAGAGTTAGCCTATCCCTTCCTGCCTTAAATCATGGTGCTTGCTTCTCTTCTTTACTAACAAATGGCATTTTCCACCTACCCCCAGAATAGGGTATGTTTAGCTGCACTAAAAGTTTGTTCAGGCAGGTAAACTTTTCTCTCCAATGATTTTCTTTTTATTATTATTATTATTATACTTTAAATTCTGGGATACATGTGCAGAACGTGCAGGTTTGTTACATAGGTATACACGTGCCATGGTGGTTTGCTGCACTCATCAACCCGTCGTCTACATTAGGTATTTCTCTCCAGTGATTTTCTTAATGGCATCTGAGAAGTTATCTGCTGCCTCTTGGTCAGAAAAAGCTGCTTCTCTTGTTTTCTTGATATGTTTTAAGCTGAATCACTTTCTGAAAATATCAAACCATCCTTTGCTGGCATTAACTTCTTCAGGTCTAGATCCTTCACCTTCCTTTTAAGTAGTCATATAATGACTTTGCTTTTTCTTGAGTCATAATAGAGTCTATAGGTGTGCCTTTCTTATAGCAAATCTGTACTGATAGACAAGCTACCTTTTCAATATGAGATAAAAAGGTATCCTCCAAAGAGTACAAGATTTTTTTCAGCTGCCTGCATAGCTGCAAGGACAGCATCACTGATTTCTTTTTCTTTTTTTTACAGGGGTCCTTACACTGGATTAATTCATCCTGAAATGGCCAGTAACCATAGGTTTAGGTCTTATTCTATAGTACATATAAAACTATTCAAATTTTTCTTGTAATGTCATAACTTTTCTCTGCTTCTTGGGAGCACTTCCAGCATTAATAGTGGCATTTTGTATAGTGTTATTTAAGGTCACAGTATTGCCCTAAACATGATGAAAATATGTGAGAATCATGAGAGATCGCATTTACTGAGATAGGCAGTTTACTGGAGAGATGAACTGCTCATTCATAGATGATTAGCATTACATGGTGTTTTAAGTGGATATTGGAAACACTTGAGTTTATCATAATAGCAACAAGAAGTGGTTACAAACTTATTACAACAGTACAGTATCCACTATAGTTAATTATATGCATAGAGATGCTAGTGAGCTCCTCAAAGTTGAATTTAGAACAGTTCATCCAGTTATATAAGAAATAGTTATCAGAGTTCAGACTCAGTTTTTGTTTTGTTTTGTTTTCCATTTTAAAAATGGAACTTTGAAATTCCCTGGAAACAGAGTTTATTAATATTCGCTTACTTAAAAAAACCTGTCAAGCCTTCTTCCTCCAGATGTGGTTTCCAGATGGTCCATGAATTGCCCAATGAGAATCAAAATGGTACATTTAGTCGTAATAAAGAGCTAGCACCTTTTTTCCCTTAAAAACCACTAGTCTTGAATCAGCTAGATATGCACTTAGGGGAAAAGTAATCACTGTATGTTTTTACAACAATAAATCTACTTTTAGCCATGGACACTTAAATGATCCAGTCCCTACATAATTTAGATAATTGTATACCAATGCCAGATGCATGAATACATTAAGACAAAGACACGCAACAAACTCACAATTATCTCATGTCATTGTGGATTTGATTTCTTTTGAGATGAAAATTCAGGAAATTGCAAACATAAAATGTGCGTTTCTTCTCTTACCGAAACTCAAGACAGTCTATTAGATTTTGAAATTTACTAATTTTTCTCCTACATTCTTTTCCTTTTTTGAATTTGTATAAAGAAGTTGTAAATATCCAAGGAAATAACCATTCCTTTAATTATCTCAAAAGGATTTGTAGTTACATGAAAATTTCAGAGAATCTGAGAGATTGATTCTTTGTTATCAAAATTTCCTCTTGGCTTAGTCAGATTTCTTATAAATGAAGAAGTGTAACTTTTTACAAACATTTACATAAACTTTTGTTTATATTTTTATACAAGAAAGGCTGTAACTCAGAATAAAGATTTGTTATGATAAATTCTGCTTTGCCTTTTATGTAAATATTTTGGTATTTCAAAGACCATATAATCCTACTAGTATCTGTATTATTTCCAGCGCAATTAAGCAACTTGGAAATTCACATTCAAAGCTATTCAAATTAGCATCCATGAACTAAAATAAGAGGAAAAACATTACGAAAACTAAAGCTAGTAAAATTTATTTTAATATATATTATGTTTTCTTCAAATTATGGTTAGTCTAATAAACTTGGGAAAAAATTTTTGAACAGAGACATATGTTAACAAGTGACAAATGACAATCATTGTGAATAACAGAGAATGCCTGATTTTAGGAAAAGGAATCACACTCATTTTAAAACTATACATCTCCATTCAACATGTATTCACTAAAGGTCTATTACATATAATGAAATGTGCTCATCACTACAGGGAATACAAATAAGGATAAAATAGAGCCACTACACCAGTCAAACTTTCTCTTATTCAATGAAAACAATAAAATGTATGCAAACAGCAAACACAGAACCTGACAAATAAGCTGCCAAAAATTAGATGAGTGCAGTAATATCACATTTTTAACTATTTTAACACATGGGGATCATAGAATAGTGATGGTGACAGTAAAGTCATAAAGATACAAAACAAGTATTAAAGAATGTGTGTGAAATAAAATATGTGGGTAAATTTTTGTTTTTCACATGTTGCTGTTTAAGGACACTGCAGTATGTCCTGTAATTCATCGAAATGACTCAGTGGAAGAAAGCTTCATTACAAGGCTGGAAGTGTAACGCTTGATGTACACTGCCTTCACATAACTTCCTTGCTATGATTTTTTTCTAGATAAACTTTAAAGTGATTGAACAATGACTTGCCGGCCCCCTGGTTACTTTTCTCTCTCATTTTTTTAGTCTTCATCAATTCAAATTCTGGATGACTAGAATAGTGAAAACAATATCATTAAAACTAGAAAGATTGGTATTATTCAAACAGTATGAAATATAATACATATATTAATGTTAATTAATAACATTAGTAAAATAATCTCATGATCATTTTGCTAAAATAAGTATTCAAATTGATATTTTAAAAATATATATGGCGTATATGTTACATAAATATATAAACGTATAAGATAACTACTCAGACAAAACTGCATCAGTAGACAAAGAAATGATGTCACAGTAGTCAAATGAAATCACAGAAGTTTTCTTTTTTTTAAAGCAAGGACGTACTTAAAAGTGTTCATATATCGATTGAGCATTCTTCATTCATTAATTTACAAATGTTTCTTAAATATATGCTGTGCATTAAGCACTGGATTATACATTATTGGATTATACATTATTAATAATTATACATTATTAAGCACGGATTATACATTATTGGATTATACATTATTGTTAAAGAAACAACTGTCAAGAAGCTGATGTTCTAGTTGGCCTTTTACATTTACATAGTATTTTATAGTTTATAAAGATACTTCCTGACACATGAAATCATAAATCTCACAAAGTTATTCTAAGACAACACTTACAAAAACGGTAGCAAAGAACATGGTGCAGAATGGAAATCACCAATATATTAAAAATATTAATTAATTGCCTCAATTACCATCTTCTTCCAGAGACTCAGATACGTAATCATCATGAAATCTTATTGTCATGGAAACTTCAACATTAACATTAACTAGCGATTGTTTTCACTTCAAGTAAATGTTGTTAACACAGCAAGAGATAGCTCTCTGTCTTATCACAGCATGGCAGGTAGACAGTGGTTATCAATATTTGGTGAATAAATTTGTTGCTATTGTTTGAATGATAGTGCCTAGCCCTACCTTTGAACATTCATGTACTTCCCGAAGGACATTTCTAGAATTCCTTCTAAAAACAAAAAATATAGGAGACACATAATATAGTTGGCTCAAGGTACTTTGGGAATGTTCAAAAGTGATACCTAAGCTAGTCTAGATAAAATAGAGATGGTGTCTGAGGAAAGTGTCGCAGGAAATAAAAGTAGATGGTGGCAGTCAAGGGAAAAAAGGGATCTAAGAAGTTCTCCAAGGCTGGGAATAGGAGGATAAAGAAGAGAGACTAGTGCATGCAGACAATAAAACATATGTAAAGAGAAGAGTGCAAGAATATGAAATGACAATGGGTCTGCCAAAAGATGCAAAAGCAAGCCATGATACTGTGGTGCATACATGAGCAAGCAAAATACAGAAAAAAGAATAACTATGTACTGAACATTTCAGTTATAATCAAAGACACAATCACGCCAATATCACCATCTTTAAAAATAGGAAAGGACATATTGTCAATTTGCACTTAATTCAAATAGGTAAGAGATGCCAAATTTTTACACGTTAGAGGATTTTTAGCTATTTGCCTTTTGAGGCAAACTAGAGGATACTGCAGTATAGAACTATAATATTGTTTTTTGATCTTAGCATTTATTTTACATTAGACTTTAAAAAAAAACTATCCTCAGAGGCACTGTTGTAATGGACGAGCATGAAGTAATTTATCAAGGGTAACAGTCTGGAGATTGTGTTGTGAAATATTCTACATGAAAAACAGAAAATGTTATAGTATTTCATGCTGTACTGAAAGATTTACTCTGAGTTAATTGGTATGTGGAAACATTCTTAACTGCACAAAAAAAGAGCAAGTAACTGCCCTATTCTACACCTGATAATTATTTTTAGCTTCCAGGTTACTGAAAATTCAACACATGAAGGTTTAGAATAATAAACATTGTAGTGAGATTATAGAAATATTATTATGGCATTTTTATATATTTATGAGAGTTTGATGAAAATTCTTTATTGCAGAAATATTAATATAATAAATGCTGCAAAGATTGTTCTGATGATATCTGTGATGATTAACATCCTGCGTCAACTTTGCTAGTCTATGGTAACTCATTGTTCTCTCAAACATCTAGATGTTGTTGTGAAGGCATTATTTTAGATGTTATTAATATTTGAATCAATAGACTGAGTAGAGTACATTCTTTCATAATATGGGTGGGCCTTGTCTAATCAGTGGAAGGCCTTAAGAGAGAGGACTACGGTTTCTGGAGAAAAAAGGAATTCTGTCTCCAGACTGCCATTGAACTCAAGATTTCCACATGAATTTTTCCCTGGGTCTCCAGCATCTGCCAGCTTGCCCTGCAGATTTTGAACTTGCCTGCATCCCTAATTTTGTGAGCCTATACCTTAAAATCAGTCTCTCCCTGTCTCTCTCTCTCTCTCTCTCTCTCTCTCTCTCTCTCTCTCTGGCATGTGTGTGTAAAAAATTTTGTAATGGTTCTCTTTCTCTGGAGAACTCTGACTAATACAGTCACTCTTATATAATCCATGTTTATTCCTTCATTCACTCAATATGTATTTACTGAGCCCTGATTGTATGCCTGGCTCAGTACTTAATCTTAGAAGTATGTTAATGAGAAAAAGCTAGTAGATAGAATTTAAAATATGGTGGTTAGTCAGTGCCTCTCACACTGTTTATTACCCAAATAATAATTCTCTGTTTATTACCCAAAACAGAGAATCAAACAAACAAAAAACTAATTATAATTCAGACCTCCATTGACCTTGATTTCAGGCAGACTAATCTTTAACTCCCACATATATTGCCCCAAATACCCACATTTGTTTATACCTATTTAGGATAAGTTCTTGTTAATATTCACTCATTATCTTCTGAGATGGCAGGAATGCATATGTCCCCAACAATGGGTGCTATTAGTACCTTGCCCAGCCAAGTGGGCACACCCACCTCCCCGCTGCTGCAGAGAATTGCCTTTAGTCTAAAGAAAATCCCCTCCCACCCAAGATGCACTCCTTGACAGTCAACAGCCAGAGTGACCAACATGGGGATTATAAAGGATAGTCCCCTTGTCTTGGTGCCGCCAAATTTTTTTTGGGGGATGTGGTGCAATACACACTGCCGAGCATAAATATTTTCTGTAAGTATCTTCAATTTTCTTCTCCTTCCCTATCAGGGTCTCTCATTCCTCTTCTCCTAAGAGCTCTCCGTCAGTCAGCAATCACTTTCATAAAAATCTGCATTTTGGGTTCTGCTTATAGGTATCATAGTTGAAGACATGCCTCCTTGAAGAGAATCTTTCCTACTATTGACCAAGTGAGAAATCCCTTCACCAGGAGATAGTCTAAAGTCCTGTGTGCCTATTAGAGATGGTCTGGTATTTGCCACCTGTTCTTGCTCTCACTCTAAGCATGAGGGAGATGGCTGTTTCTTCAGGGAGATTTTCCATTAAGGGATTCCCATAGAAAATGGTCTAGGCCTTCATGGTTGCAATTTTGAAGAGTATGTCATTTCCAATTTATCCATATGTTTCCCTAAAATATTCCCCAGTGACCAGGTGCATAATCAGTGCCTCTTGCAGTTACCTGTCCTGTGGAATTGAGTCTGTGTACCCATCCCAGTGTCCCCTTTATGTGCTGTCCTTTCTGGTACCTGGTCTCCACAAGGTTCAATCCTTTACATCCTTTTTTTTTTTTTTTTTTTTTTTTTTTGAGATGGAGTCTCACTCTGTCACCCAGGCTGGACTGCAGCGGCATGATCTCGGCTCACTGCAACCTCCACCTCCTGGGTTCAAGCAATTCTCCTGCCTCAGCCTCCCAAGTAGGTAGGACTACAGCAGCACACCGCCATGCCTGGCTGATTTTTTGTTATGGTTTCACCATTTTGCCCCATCCTATGTTTAATCACTTGGAGTCACAAAAAGAAGGAATTGCCATGCTGATCTGTATGTATCTGAGGGTTTCCTCTGTATTTTGTAAAACGTGGCTATAACATTTACAGGAGTGAGACACACCATCATATTTCATGCAAGAGAGCAAAGCTCCAAATACCAATGATGTGTAGAAGTATCAATGATAGGCCATAGCCTTATTGAATAAAAATATTGCATTACATTTTAATCAAAAAGTTTTAAAATAGGCCCAATTTTAGAGTTGTTCTTCAACACTACTCACCTCTCCTAATGACAAAACTGAAATATCAGGGTCTGTCATCAATATAGAGAAAGTTTAGAAGATGAATCTAGATGACTACAATGGTTACATTAAAATTTATGAATCAAAACAGTCATAAAATTTTCAAAATGTAAAAATACCAAAATAAAAATGATATGTTGCAAAACTAGCTGGAGAATTTATTCATAGATGGCTTTTGGTGTTTTTAGCGTCGAGGTAATAATACTTTGTCTATTTATTTGAGTCCACCGATGTGGGTCAAAAAAGGAGATCATGGTGCAAGTTATAAGGTCATAGAGTTTATCATATAAATCAATCAACCTATCAACAAGTATTGACTTCTAAGAAGAAAGAAATAAAGCCCATCAAGGATGACCTTTTCATAAATTTCTCAATTAGTTTATTTACAAGTTGATAAAATGGCTATTTTTTTGGACATGAAGGGATTTTTGCTTCAAACAGTCAAGTATCATAAATTTTTGTCTGAGTTATGATGATAGGCTTAAGAAATGACCAATTCAATCAGTTTATTAATTGAATCTGAATGGGAATGCTATGTACAAAAATGAGGATTGTGGGAGAACACGTTTCCTGAGGGAAAGGCAGAGTCTGTTATGACCAGAATAGGCGCACAAGGAGGGCTACGAGATGAGATGAGGCATCAAAGGGACACATTACAAAAGGGGGACATGTTTCCCAAGCAGATTTATCTTATTAATGTTTCTCAAAAGTGGAATCAAAATCACACTGTGGTATTCTTTATAAATGTACATTGTCCCAACATGGAATTTTATGAACACTAAAGCCTGAGAATCATTCTGTAATTAATGGGGAACCCCAGAAGGGTTTCAACAGCAAGAGAAGGGAATAAATAAGAAGAAAAGAGAGCTATTACCAAAGCCAAAGAAATATAGAATACATGGAATAAAATCAAGTTCAAAATGTGAGGCTATGGATCATTATTGGAATCACAATATCCTTTAGTCCTCTTTTTCAATCTATTTTAGACAGGACATCTCTATAAATATAAAGCCAGAAAACCATATTTTGGAAAAACTCAAGAATTACCATAAAAAACCTCTTTCAAATAAATCTCTTAATTAAATGGAGAATTATATCACTCTAATTTTCTTTTCCCCTTTCAAATAATACTCTCAGGAGACATTATCTTCTAACCAACTTTGATTTTATAAAATTTCAGCTTGATTTGAGTTAATTTATATTTCCTTTTTACTAACTAAAGGATATAGTTTAATATGCATTATTATTATTATTATTATTATATTATTAGTTTTGGTGAGGGTATCAGGAATGAGGAAGTAAGTTGTGATGATTTCAGTAGCTAATTCTCTGAGCATACAAAACAAAACTAAGTTCTGGAGCAGTGAAATTAGTAAAGCAAAAGCTACTTTTTATCTTTTTACAATTGATTTTTAGAAAATCCTGAAAGGAGCAAACCTAAATCTCAGTGGGTTTCTAGTGGAACAAATAGCTACTAAAAATAGTCTTTTAATTGACATAGAAAACATATATGCCAAAGCTGTTGGCTCAGATGGAAGCCAAGTTAAAACTCCTCGAAGTAAACAAAGAATTTCTGCATGCAAAATATCTTTCTGGAAAATAATGTTAGTTCTTCCATTTTAAGAAATTTGGTTATATCTCAGTAGCCAGATTCCCTAGATTTAAATATTTGTATTTGAGTCTTCTGGTATGAATGATACTGCTAGTTGACTATTAAGTCTCTATCAGTTTCAAATGATATATAAAAGGGTCAAGATTGCTTAAAAATCTATGTTTTACCCATAAATATCATTAAAATCAAATACATAATAGTACATTTTAAGTTAATTAAGCTTAGTACTTTATCTCTTAACAAAGTTTAAGAATGGCATAGGCAACTACTTCTTCTGTTGGTAACATTTACTGCTTAAAATTCCTTGCTGTAAAATTATTCATGCATTTTTGGCCCATGTGGTAGGTAGACTTTAAGATGACTCTACAATTCATGCTGCCTTGTATTCACACTCTTGTGCAATTCTCTCCCCTTAATTGTGGAATGGACTGACTTGGTTGGTAAACTGTAGAATAAGTTTTCCAAAGCTTTAGTGAGTGTAGTGCATTTCAAGTACTTTCACAAGAGATCACCGCAAACCTAGCACCTAAAACAATGCAAACTTATTATCTCGCATTTTCCATGGGCCAAGAGTCCAGGCATGGGTTAGCAGTGCATCTGCTCAGGGTCTCACCAAGCTGCCATCAAGGTGCTACCCAGGGCTGTACTTCTCACCTGGTGCTCATTCAGGGGGTTGGCAGAATTTAGTTTCCTGCAGATCATGTCTGCGGTCCCTGTTTTCTTGATAATACTTGTCTAAGGACTGACATCAGCTCTTAAAGGATGCCCCTGTCCAGCGGCAGTTTAATATCATGGTTTTTTTTTTTTTCTATTACACTTCCCAGTCTATCAGAAGAACACTCTATTAAAGAGCTCATTTGAAGAAATCAGTCCTATCCAGAGTAATCCTTTTTTTGATTAACTAAAAGTTAACTAATGTAGAGATTTGATTATATCTGAAAAATCTCTTCTACCATATAAGGTGACAATATTATAAGAATAATGTATTTATAGGTTCTGTCAAAATTCAAGTAGAGGGAATGATACAGGCTGAAGGTCACTGGTGGGACATGAGACTCATTTTTGGATTCTACCCATTACAGAGAGAATAAAATCCTTTGGTGGGTTATCAGGTAAGATCATCCTAGATTCCCCCCACACAGGTCCTCGGGGCATTCCTTTCACCCTGGCAGTGAGAAATAAGTTTATGAGTGGAGCCCTAACATCACTGAAGAATCCCGCAGTAGATTTGCTCTGTAGATTAGAGATTACAGTGGTAACTGCTACTCTCAAACTGGGGATCCTAAACCCAATGAGGATGATGGGATCTGGGTTGGCAGAGGTCAAGTGGTAGCACTTCACAGCCAAAGACAAAGTATGGTTACCATAATAATTAGCAGAGCCAATGCAGTAATCAGACTCACCTGACCAGCAGAGATTATGGACATTGGCTAGTTGTTTCCAGCGTCCCTAGAACTGAAATAGTGAAATGGACAACCTATTGAAGTCTTGTTTCATCTATATTAGCAGAAAAAAAATTAGGTTTAGTAAATAGCAATCTGCTTTGAAGCACCAAAACAGAATCAAAGGCCCTCAATCCATTCCTAGGTTTCAGCCAGGTCCCAGGCACAGATTTCCTTCCATGTGGAAGCTGAGAAATTGTGCAGAAAGGCCCTGCTACACTGTCAAATGTTCATAATGTTAACCTTCCTTCCAGCCTTTTCTTTTAAAGGAACCTGTAACAACTTACTAGAATGACCACATTGGATAAGGGGAAAAAATTAGACATTTCAGGAATGACTGGACACTGGCTCTGAACTGACACCAGATTTTGGTACCCCATACATTATTGTTGTCTGCCAGTCAGATTAGGGACCTCGGGAAATTAAAGGATGATTGGAGTTTTGCTTTATGACCATCTCATAGTGAACCCTGTTGTTCCCTGAATCTGCCTTGTTGCTATGTCCTTGGTTTGGAATGCATATTAGGATATACTCATACTCAGACTTCGAAACTGATAGAATTGCGATATTAGTTTCCTAATCTGTAAGAGTGAAAATTATTATATGACAAGTGGAATTCGCTCGAATTGCTTACCTATAAAAATAGTAAATTAAAGACAATACCACATTCCTAGAAGGATTGCAGAGATTAGTGCCATCATTGAGGATAGGAAAAATGCAACGGTGACATTTCCCATTATATCCCTCTTTTAACTTGTATCTTTGGCCTATGAAGAAGACAGATGAATTTTGGAGAATGGCAGTAGATTATAAAGTTTATCATGCAGTGACTTCAATTGCAACTGCTGAACCAGATGTGAGTTTGTTGCTTGAGCAAATCAACACATCTCTTGGCAACTGGCAATCAGTGATCTGATGAGTGTTCTTAATTTCTTCCTGTTAATTAACCAGACCACAAGAATCAGTTTGGTTCTGGCAATACATTTTTACTTTTTTTTTTTTTTTTTTTTTTGCTTCAGGGACAATCAACACTCTAGCTCTATGTTATGTCTTAGTCTGCAGGGAGGTTTGCTGACTTTCCCTTCCAAAATATAGCCCAGTGGTCCACTACCTGTATGACATTATGCTGATTGGACCTAATGAGCAGGAACTAGCAACTAATCCCAACACATTGGTAAGAAACCTGCTTGCCCAAGAGTGGGAAATAAAGTCGACAAAGATTCTCAGGTGTAGTACTTCAGTGACATGTGCAGAGCTCCAGTGGTCTGCAGGATGCTGATAGTCCTTCCAGGGTGAAGAGTGAGTTGCTGTATCTGGGACTTCTTGCTAGCACACTTAAATATGGTATATGGTGCCACCAAAATCCAAAGAATCTCACTAAGCATCTTGTCTCTCATTTAAATGTGCTATTCTTTATTTCTGCTCCCCACCACAACCCGCCCCACCAACCCTGACTTTTTTGAGACAGTCTCACTCTGTCGCCCAGGCTAGAGTGCAGTGGCACTATCTTGGCTTATGGCAACCTCTACCTTCTGGATTCAAGGGATTCTCTTGCCTCAGCCTCCCAAGTAGCTGGAATTACAGGCACACACCACCATGCTCAGTTAATTTTTTGTATTTTTGTAGAAATGGGGCTTCACCATGTTGGCCAGACTGGTCTCGAATTCCTGACCTCTGGTGATCCACCCACTTCGGCCTCCCAAAGTGCTGGGATTACAGGTGCGAGTCACCATACCTGGCCTAAATGTGCTATTCTTCCCTACTTACTGAGTGACCCAAAAACCTTCCATTTCTGAGTAGGTTTCAAAACACGAGGAGGCCTTGTGACAGACTTAGGTTACCATGCAAGGTGCTTTGCCCCTTGGACCATATGACCCAGCAGATTTGGTTGTATTTAA